>NC_000010.11:13797878-13949393 GCF_000001405.40 Homo sapiens
CCTTTTTGAGGCTTCACTCAAACTGCACCTTTCGCACAAGAAAAAAAAAAAAAAATCCCCCTCCACAAAGCCCATACCTGTGGCTATACGGAAGACTTTTGGATCTGCCTTAGAATAGTGACCACCTGAAGAACTTTGGCCTGTTTTTCCTCTTTCTAAGAATCTCCAGTTGGATAAAAAAATTCCATTAACTTTATCTTTTTATTACCTTGCTCTGAATATAGGAAAAGTAAAAAAAAAATAATGAAAGGGTTGGGCGCAGTGGCTCACGCCTGTAATCCCAGCACTTTGGGAGGCGAAGGCGAGCGGATCACTTGAGGTCTGGAGTTTGGTATCAGCCTGGCCAACATGGTGAAACCCTGTCTCTACTAAAAATACAAAAAATTAGCTGGACCTGGTGGCAGGTGCCTATAATCCCAGCTACTCGGGAGGCTGAGGTAGGAGAATCGCTTGAACCCGGGAGATGGAGGTTGCAGTGAGCTGAGATCGCGCCATTGCACTCTAGCCTAGGCGACAGAGACTCTGTCTCAAGAAAAAATAAATAAATAGGACGGGCGTGGTGGCTCACGCCTGTACGCCTGTAATCCCCACACTTTGGGAGGCCAAGGCAGACAGATCACGAGGTCAGGAGATGGAGACCATCCTGGCTAACACGGTGAAACCCTGTCTCTACTAAAAAATACGAAAAATTAGCCGGGCATAGTGGCAGGCGCCTGTAGTCCCAGCTACTCAGGAGGCTGAAGCAGGAGAATGGCATGAACCTGGGAGGTGGAGCTTGCAGTGAGCCGAGATGGCGCCACCGCACTCCAGCCTGGGTGACAGAGCGAGACTCCGTCTCATAAATAAATAAATAAATGGAAGAGAGTATTGTAAGTAAAATAACAGGAGCAACTTCTTCCAGAAAGCTGGGATAAATTCTGTTCTGACTAGAACACAAGATCAGGAAACAGAAGGCCTGGGTGCCAATGTCATCTCTGCCCATGCCTGATAATGCCCCACAGGTTCCATGATATTTCAAACTTCTGTTCCTTAGCTCATGCTGTTCCTTCGTCCCAGTAGGCCTTTCCCTTCCTTCTTCCCCAGTGAGGTCCGGCCCATCCCGCAGGACTCAGCTCTCACGTCTCCGCTCCAGAAAGTCTTCCCACACCACACACCGGGTGGGATGGGGGGGTCCTCCTCCGACCCTTACAGCACCCACCCTAGGGGCTCACCCATTTCTGCACTTCCCAGTCTACAGAACTTGCTCTCTATGCATTCATTTTCCCCAGCTGACTTTTTAAAATTTATTTTTATTTTTTAGATGGAGTCTTGCTCTGTTGCCCAGGCTGGAGTGCAGTGGTGTGATCTAGTCTCATTGCAACCTCCGCCCTCCGGGTTCAAGTAATTCTCCTGCCTCAGCCTCCTGAGTAGCTGGGACTACAGGCGCAGGCCGCCATGCCCAGCTATTTTTTTGTATTTTAGTAGAGACAGGGTTTCACCGTGTTGCCCAGGCTGGTCACAAACTCCTGAACTCAGGCAATCCACCTGCCTCGGCCTCCCAAAGTCCTGGGATGACAGAGGTGAATGACTGTGCCCAGCACCAGTTGACTTTCTATATCTGGAAAATGCCACGAGATCTACCTCATGAGGAGAAAGTGTGCATGTCTGGTCAACTGGAAGGTGTCAGACAAATTATCTTAAGCTGCAACCACTTCCTTCCTGCCTCTGAAAATGCCCCCAACTCTGTGGGTCTTCTCTTGGGGCTCAGCCTCCTGCGAGTACACCATGTGTATGGCATGCGCCTGGCCTTCACTCATGCTGCCTCTCCTCCTTGGAACTGGAGAACTGTCTCTCCATCCCTTTATCTGAATGTTTAGCCATTGTGCAAGGCTGAGTTCAAGTCTTACTTTCAGTGAAGTCTTCCTTGATTGCCTAAGTCTGGGGTTTCTTTCAAACTTCTCCAGGGCTTCTGGTGTGTGTCATCTTCAAGGCATTTGGCATAATCTTGTACAATTAGTTATTTTTAAAAAATATGACCTAGGCTGGGTGAGGTAGCTCACACCTGAAATCCCAGCACTTTGGGAGGCTGAGGCAGGCGGATCACGAGGTCAGGAGTTCGAGACCAGCCTGACCAACATGGTGAAACCCCATCTCTACTAAAAAAAAATACAAAAATTAGCCAGGCGTGGTGGCACATGCCTGTAATCCCAGCTACTCAGGAGGCTGAGGCAGAAGAATTGCTTGAATCCAGGAGGCAGAGGTTGCAGTGAGCTGAGATGGCACTACTGCACTCCAGCCTGGGTGACAGAGCGAGACTCCATCTCAAAAAACAAAACAAACAAACAAAAAACATGACCTATCTCTCAACGATCAGTTTTCAACATTTACAGAAATTATCCCCCAAAACCTAGCACAGTGTATAGCAACTGTTAGGTGCTCAAAAGAAGTATTTGCTCATTGATTTGAATGACTGCCTGCAAGAGCAAGCCATCCAATGACAATGTAGGCTTAAATATTCATCTTTTGTCTTACCATATTTTATGATAAACAGTCTGATGGGAATAACCTTTTCATTATTCTCACAAGACAAGGCTTTCAATCACCCACAGACTGGAATGATACAAAAATACAGTGATTTTTCTCTGGCCACCAGCTCAAAGAATAAGGAGGACCTGAGAGAGAGAGAGAGAATATTCCATTTGTGGAATATTCAAGATTAGTCAATGGTCCAGGCTTGAGATATCCTCATACCACTCCACTGGCATATGAGTGACCACACACACTGCAAGAGATTAGACTTAGGTCCCTGGGGGTCACCATTCACATGTGATGAACTTCAAGGTGGGGACATGTCGCATGAAGGGACACAGACAGATGTCATTTGGATTCCAGTCTGTTGGGTTTACGCACTGCCAATTCTTCTTCATCCACAGAGGACAAACAGACAGATGGATTCCCCCTCTAGAAAACTTTATTCCCCACATTAAACTGTCTAAAAGAATGACTTTTTAAGCCATGAATCTGACTGGCAATTCCTTTGTTCCCGGCCATCTATTGGTTTAACATTTATCAAGCAATTAAATAGACTAGAAAGGAAAGTAAGAAAATGGGCCAGGTACAGTGGCTCATGCCTGTAATCCCAGCACTTTGGGAGGCCATGGCAGGTGGATCACGAGGTCAGGAGATCGAGACCATCCTGGCCAACATGCTGAAACCCCGTCTCTACCAAAAATACAAAAACTAGCCAGGTGTGGTGGCACGTGCCTGTAGTCCCAGCTTCTTGGGAGGCTGAGGCAGGAGAATCGCTTGAACCTGGAAGGCAGAGGTTGCAGTGAGCCGAGATTGCACCGCTGCACTTCAGCCTGACAACAGAGTGGGGCCCTGTCTCACTGACAACAGAGTGGGGCCCTGTCTCAAAAAAAAAATGGTCAGGAAGCAAAGAGAACATGGAAGCTGGAATGACACCTATATGATCCTACATGGAATAGTTGGCCTCTGAGGACAAATGAATTTCCTTCCTCCACTTCCCCTGCTTGAACTCGTCCACTCCAATCCCATGAGGGGATCACGATGCATGGCCTTGCGTAGCTCCAGTGGCTAATGGAGAGGCAGACTTTCCCAAACCTGGAGTCCTCGGATTCTCTGAAGGAAGGAGGTCAGCTGCCTCCACTTTAAAGGCTTGTAGAAGTCTCTCAATGAAGGCTGCTTATAAAGGCAGACTGAAGGGACATGTGACTTATCCAAGACCCTGATGAAAACTGCCCACTATTTGGGCAAAAACTGAAAGATGGATTAAAAAGCAAACTGGAAACCATAATTCTGGGGCCACCACTTTTGGCTGGAGCACTTGTTACAATGTTGTTTTCTGCTCATCTCTAAGTCACACTTCCTGTACTCTACAGGGTCAAGAATTCCACACTGCTAAAGGCTTTTGCTTTCCTATTTAACCTTTTACAGTCCTGACATCAAGTGCCTCCCTCAAACCTTTTATGTTTCTTTTGCATTAGGATGGAATGGGACGAAAAGTCATAAAGAAGCATTTCCTTAATACAGTTTAACTAAGAGATGCCTTATAGCTTGGTTTTCATGATTCTCATTGATTTTTCATTTGAGAATGCACTTCATTGCCTTTGCCAATAATAATGCAAAAAAAAAAAAAAAAAAAGCATCCCAGCAGCCACTCAGAGTATTTTTGTTATTATGTGACTGATAACTATCTTTAAAGCTGAGCAAGATAACGCTCATTTGGTTTATGGTTGCAGTAGGTCAAACTGTCAGGTCAGTAATAAATATGCAATTGCTTCCAGGCAATAGAAATTGGACGCATTCATTTAAGATATTGCTTTTAGCTTCTACATATAAAACAAATAGATTTTTGGTTCAAGTGTTGGCACCTTCAATAGAGATGGCCTCAGGGAGAGCTTTGTTTATAGTTACTGGTGGGTGGAGGTGTGTGATAAGTCTATCTGAATCCGTCACTTTCCAGACCCAGGGGGAGAATGACACTGCACAGCTTCTAGATGTTTTTATTGTAGACAGGCAATTTCATATGGAATGAGTTTCTACAGAAATCCAAAGCAAGAGATGAAGTTCTTATATGTTTATCTATTTAGAGACAGGGTCTCACTCTGTTGCCCAGGCTGGAGTGCAGTGGTGCAATCATAGCTCACTGCAGCCTTGAACTGCTGGGCTCAAGCGATCCTTCTGCCTCAGCCTCTGGAATAGCTGGAACTACTGGCACATACCATTGCACTTGGGTAATTAAAAAAAAAGGTTTTTTTTGTTTTTGTTTTTTTGGTAGAGACAGTGTCTCGCTTTGTTGTCCGGGCTGGTCTCAAACTCCTGGCTTCAAGCAATCCTCCTACTTCAGCCTTCCAAAGTGCTGGGATTACAGGTGTTAGTCACCACACGTGGCCAAGTGTATGAAATGCTTATAGATGTTGCTGGATGGAGGGGAGGAGAGGAGCTCTTCAAATGGAAGAATGTTGATATATTTAGTATCCTTGTCTTATAGTATGTGTGTTCATCAAGGACAGACCAGGCACTTTGGGAGGTCAAGGTGCGCTGATTACCTGAAGCCAGGAGTTCGAGACCAGCCTGGCTAACATGGTGAAACCCCGTCTCTACTAAAAATACAAAAAATTAGCTGGGTGTGGTGGCGGATGCCTGTAATCTCAGCTACTTAGGAGGCTGAGGCATGAGAATCACTTGAACCTGGGAGACAGAGTTTGCAGTGAGCCGAGATGGCACCACTGCACCCCAGCCTGGGTGACACAACAAGATTCCATCTCAAAAAAAAAAAAAAAAGGGACAGACCAGTGATACTGATTTCACTATAAACCTTTAATAATACAGGAAGGTTAAAGTAGGGTATATACTGGGGAAACCAGATTACTAAATCATGGGCTCTCCAGCCCAGGATAAATTGTTGTCTCCACTATGTTTTAGTAAGCCTATTCCAAATTTTCTTTTTAAAAATGTTTTATTTTTTAGAGACAGAGTCTCTTTCTGTTGCCCAGGCTGGAGTGCAATGGTGCAGTCATAGCTCGCTGCAGCCTTGAACCCCTGGGCTCAAGTGATCTTCCCATCTCAGACTCCTGAATAGCTGGGACTACAGGTGCACACCACCACTCCTGGCTAATTAAACAAATTTTTTTTTTTGTAAAGTAGAGGTTTTGCTGTGATGCCCAGGTTGGCCTCAAACTTCTGGCCTCAAGCAATCTTCCCACCTCAGCCTCCCAAAGCACTGGGATGGCAGGCATGAGCTACCATACCCAGCCCCCAATTTTCTTTTCTAGCGCTTCTACACCACGTTTTGTGAATCACTTCCTAATCTACAAACACAAGCTCAACAAGGAGTCAAGGGCCAGTGCTTTCTGGATCTCCAGTGGTTAAGAGCAGATGCTAAATAAATATTTGTTAAGAGAATGAATACAGCAGCTTCACAATATGCCCCACAGATCCATATTCTTGTAGGTTCAGGGACTGCTGTGTAGACACAGCTCCCATCCTAAGCAAACAGTCTCCATATTAAGAATTCACTCCGCTCACCTGTGCCAGGTTCCCAGCTCCCTCCGGTCATTTGCATTGGGAAGGAAAGGAGGGAGAAAGCCGCATCCCTAAGCTTTCCTTGGAGGGCACCGTTCTTTTTGTTTATCTTAGCTGCACACAGAAAGAGCTATGCTCAAGCACTTCTCTGGTCACTAAATATAAGGTACTGTTGTATGTTTGCCGTTGTTTCCGACAACACAGCATGGGTCGTCTGAGAGGTGGTAATGAACACCGAATGCCGCGTTCCCAGAAGCAGTTATTACAAGCCAGGCACGGAGGCTGCAGCCACTGACTTTCTCCTCTCTCACTGTCCAGCAGATAATACGTGGAAATCCCAAACCTATTTCCAAATAAATTGCTTTCCCAGAGCTGTGTCTTGTGGTTGTTTCTTCTGCCACTGGAAAATTGCTTTTCTATTTTGTTTATTTTTAAATTGTAGATAAGCTTGTGGCCAGGAATGCTGAATGACTGAACCCTTTTCAGAGGCCCCAGCTGATGCCAGTCACAGTTGAAACAAACGCGAGGACCTGAGGACAGCACAGACCCAAGCTCGCTCCCGTGCACCAGCCTTCCTGGCAGTGGTTCTAAAGATGCATCTTCAATGAGTCAGGACTTTTTCTTTCTTTCTTTCTTTCTTTATTTCTTTTTTTTGTTGAGACGGAGTCTCGCTCTGTCGCCAGGCTGGAGTTCAGTGGCATGATCTTGGCTCACTGCAATCTCCCGCCTCCCGGGTTCAAGCAATTCTCCTGCCTCAGCCTCCCAACTAGTTGGGATTACAGGTGGCTGCCACCACACCCAGCTAATTCTTTTTTTTTTTTTTTTTGTATTTTTAGTAGAGATGGGGTTTCACCATGTTGGCCAGGATGGTCTTGATCTCTTGACCTTGTGATCTGCCTACCTCGGCCTCCCAAAGTGTTAGGATTACAGGTGTGAACCACCGTGCTCAGCCAGGCCATTTTAACCTTAATAGTTTGGGTAAATCAGACTCCCCAGACAGCACCAATCAGGCAATTCAATTAATTAGGATACAGTCTGCTGAAAGAAAAGATCCTTAATTGTTTACTGTCTAGGTTCTTAAACTAACATCCTGGCCGCAGGGTGTCTGTGAGTGTTGTAAAATGTAAGCAAAAATTTATTTTGTATGTAAACTTTTATGAAGGAAAGGGAATATAACTTCAAATCTCAAAGGCGGTGTGATGAAATCAGAGGTTAAAAGCTACTCGTTTTCTTTTCTTTCTTTTTTTTTTCTTTAAGAGATGGGGTCTTGCTCTGTTGCCCAGGCAGGAGAGCAGTGGCGCAATCATAGCTTGCTGCAGCCTTCAATACTTGGGCTCAAGCAAGTCTCCCGCCTCAGCCTCCCAACGTGTTGGGATTACAGGTGTGAGTCTCAAGCCCAGCCCATATTATTAATTGGTATGTGAAAATAAATTCTAACTATACTTGTCTTTTAAATTTGGAGTAATGGCTAACCAAGTTTCTTTTCTTTCTTCCTCATATTTCTAAACACTTTTAAAAGGCTTTTTTTTTCTTAAAAAAAAACCCCCAAAAAATCAATCACAAAAGATACTTATTTACAGCATTTAACAAGCAATTCTTAAAATTTATGACAGGAGATTCAAATTAAAATTTAAATAGATTATGACAATCATTAATTCAACTTGGGTGTGTTTGACTGTTTCTGCTGAATAGCTTAAAAGTTGGTTAGTTATAGGCTATAGCTTCTGATAACGGGATCTTCCATTCCCACCCCACCCCCTGGCTCACAAGCTACTTCTTGATTTTAATTAGTTTTGTTGTTGAGACGAGGTCTCACTCTGTCACCAGGGCTGGAGTGCAGTGGTGCAATAATAGCTCACTGCAGTCTTGAACTCCTGGGCTCAAGTGATCCTCCTGCCTCAGCCTCCTCAGTAGTTGGGACTACAACTGTGCACCACCATGCCTGGCTAATTTTTAATTTTTTTTTTTTTTGAGACAGATTCTAACTCTGTCACCCAGGCTGGAGTGCGTGGCGTGATCTTGGCTCACTGCAACCTCCACCTCCTGGGTTCAAGCAATGCTCGTGTGTCAGCCTCCTAAGTAGCTGGAATTACAAGCATGTACTACCACACCCATTTAATTTCTGTATTTTTAGTGGAGACGGGGTTTTGCCATGTTGCCAGGGTGATCTCGAACTCCTGACCTCAAGTTATCTGCCCACCTCAGCCTCCCAAAGTGTTGGTATTACAGGTGTGAGCCACAATTTTTTTTTTTTTGTTTTGTGGTAGAGATGGGGGTCTTGCTATTGCCCAGGCTCGTCTTGAACTCCTCCTGGCTTCAAGGGATCCTCCCACTTTGGACTCCCAAATTGCTGAAATTATAGGCATGAGCCACTGCACTCAGCCCACAATTAAGAAAAAAATGAAATTTGAGTCTTAAAACAGCAATAGAAATATTTCAAAAAAAAATGTAAAAATGAGTTTCTCTAAGGGATGGATGCCAGTGTTTGATAAATGAAAATCTCAGTTACCCTATTTGTACACCTGGAAACATTAAACCTGAACTTCCAAGCTTGTTCTCCTACTGTTAGGAATGGAAGCTAGAAGGGAGATGGTCTGTAACTTTACAGGCCCCTGGGATGAGTCGTTGCTAGACCCCAACATTCAACGCTGAAGTAGAATCAGCTTTTCTTCTTTGCTCTGGAGGGAGAGAGCACAGGAAATACTGCAACATGCCCGCTGTCTAGAACAGGGGTTTTCAAATTTGCCTGCAAGCTAGAATCAGCTGAGAAGCTGAGGTCACACCCAAGCTGATTCAATTGGAATTTCTGGGGGTAGGTCCCAGGCATTGGTATTTTATAAAGTGTCCCAGGTAATTCCAAAGTGTAACTAAGGTTGAGATCCCTAACTCTAGCAAAATATAAATACTTTTTTTATTTTTTGAGATGGAGTCTCGCTCTGTTGCCCAGGCTGGAGTGCAGTGGCATGACCTCGGCTCACTGCAATCTCTGCCTCCTGGGTTCAGGTGATTCTCCTGCCACAGCCTCCCAAGTAGCTGGGATTACAGGCATGTGACACCATACCCGGATGATTTTTTGTATTTTTAGTAGAGGTGGGGTTTCACCGTGTTAGCCAGGATGGTCTCGATCTCCTGACCTCATGATCCGCCCACCTCGGCCTCCCAAAGTGCTGGGATTACAGGTGTGAGCCACCGCGCCTGGCCAATAATTATTTTAACATTGGATTTATAACTGGCTCTTGGTTAGTTTCAGGATGTATTAAAGGGTGCCAAAATGTCTTTGTTTGCATGTATCACCACGATTCAGATAATTTATATAGATGACCACCTGTATCTCTTTTTCTGAGGACAGAGTTAGTAAAAATAAAAGGAGGCCAGATGCAAACGAATCTTGTACAGAAGAGAGCACTCGTAAAAAATTGGGGAAATCTGAATCAAGTCTGTAGTTTAGTTAGTAATATAATGCCAATGTTCATTTCTTAGTTTTGATGAAAGTCACGTCGTTTGCAAGATGTTGACATTTGTTGAAGTTGGGTGAAGGGTATAAAGGAACTCTAATATGTTTGCAATTCTTCTTTAAGTCTATTTCAAAACTAAAGTTAAAAGATTAAAAAAAGAAAGCAGACTTAGCATTAATGCTGCAAAACTGTTGATTGCTAACAATATTAAACATTCTTGGGCATAAGTTCTTACACTGTGACTTAGATGCTTTATTAATGAATACAACTTATGGAGTGAGAGAAGCTTAGAGAAATTTCCAATTTCCTGTCTACATTCTGCTTTATATATATTTTCTCCAGTTTCATCTAGATCCCACAAAATGTCAACAGCAGTTAATTCTGAAAGAGTCTCTGACAATATATGACCTAGAGTCACACGTTCTATTATTTAGAAATTCTTTTTTTTTTTTTTTGGAGACAGTGTTTTACTCTGTTGCTCAGGGTGGAGTGCAGTGGCACACTCTCGGCTCACTGCAAACTCTGCCTCCCGGGTTCAAGCGATTCTTCTGCCTCAGCCTCCCAAACAGCTAGGATTATGGGCACATGCCACCATGCCTGACTGATTTTTGTATTTTTAGTAGAGACGGGGTTTCACCATGTTGGCCAGGCTGGTCTCGAACTCCTGACCTCAAGTGATCTGTCCACCTCAGCCTCCCAAAGTGCTGGGATTACAGGTGTGAGCCACCATGCTCAGCCTACTATTAGAAATTCTACTCTCAGGAACAATCATGCTGCTGGTAAGAGTATCTTGCACTTGTACGGCACTTCACAGTTTATAAGTGCTTTCCACGTGATAGCCTTGTTTTATTTGCATTAGGAAATAGACAAATACATGTGATACACCACAGGCTGTCATAAAGAATGGAACTACGATTGCATTTTACTGTAAAACACACAGTGTAGCACCTGTATAAAGCACAGACACACACATGCTCACAATACACATGCAGAATTAGAAAACACGGTTATAAAACAATTTTGCTGTAGTGTCCCGTGATACAGAGCAAGGCCAGGGGATGTAGTACTGTAAGGCTAGCGCTTACTACCTAGGAATCACCAAGCCAGAGCAGGTGAACACCCAAGGGCACTATTTTGCAGGGGCAGCTTTTGTTCTTCTTTCCTACCAGGAAAAGGAGAAAAGTTCAGATGAACAAAGAGGCACTCCCAATGTCTGTTGGCCCTGGCATTGTACCGCCAGGACTGACAGCCCTTGAGTCACGGCCTCACCACTGCCCAGCCTTGCAGGAGCCAGCTCTTCACCTCCTCTGGGCTCCTGACACCTGCCCTTTCCCCTGGTGCACCAGGCACATCTGCTAGTTCTTTTTCAGAAATCTTTTGCCAGCTCCAGTGGTTTTCTAGTGACCTCCAGCTGGCTGGCCGCCACTCCTTCTGTGGCTGGAGAGACCCTCCCACCTAGACTCTGGGGCAGGTGATGGAAATGGCTGCACTTTCTCTGGATCATGCCAGAAGGATGGCTCACTCCTCTTCATCACTGCCCCCCACAGAGCCTCCACATAGCCAGCTCCACTACTAGAGGGGGCAAGACACTTTTATCCAGCCTGGCTTCTACGCACGCACACACGCACGCACACACGCATGCACGCACATGCTTTCCTGGTCAGCACAGAGAGCCAGGAGAACTCAGACATGGAGTGTACCAGCTTAGCTGGATGGGGAAGCTGAACTTGGGTGTGTGCACCCCCTGCTGTGACGTGTGGTTTTGGTGCTCTCAACCCTCCTGGGAGAAGAGTGACTTTCTACCTAGGTCCGATTCCTGCCAGTCAGTGCTGTTAGGGCAGTGATCTGAAATGTTCTGCAGACTCACATCATCTTCCCCTTCAGCCCAGGATCACACGTTCGTTTTTCAATTCTTGTTTATTCAAAAGGGAAGCCTAATCAGGCCTCCTCTAGAGTTCACGGGATCTTTTAGTAAACTTACGTGGGAAATGTGAACAATGGGGCTATGATTAATTGAAACTTAGGGTTTCCTTCTGATTAGTGAAAATAGTCTCAACAGCAATTTAAGTGGTTTACAGTGATTCTCAGGAGAAAGGGGAGAGAATAATCTACATTTGTAAAAGTAATTGTTCTACATGTGCATTTGTTTAAAAGCTTTTAAAAAAATTGCAGTGCTGGGTCCTTCCCCGCACAGCCCTGAACCTTTCCCAGCTGGGCTTACTTGGCCCTGCCTGCAATTCCTCCTGCCCACCGACGGCCACTCCCACCTGCATTCCAGTTCCCTGCAGGCTCCAGGACGAGGGGCCCACCTTGCTCCTCCCAGCTTTCTTGAGGAAGATGTGGCTTTGCTCCTGCTGCCTGCTCTCTGAACACACCACAGCCTGAAATGTCCCTGATTTACAGGGTGACCAGATGGTCCGGTTTGCCCAAGACAGTCCCAACGACACCCCCTTTTGTTCAGTGTCTCAATTTGGATAATAAGTCATAAGACCACCCCTTCCACTTGCATCTCACCAAGGCCAAGTGTAGCCATGTGCAGGGACACCTGGTTGCCTCTCTCACTGGCCCATGTGGATGCCCACCTGTTCTTGCTTCAGTGGCACCACCTGATTCCCAGGGCCTCGGCTCCCCTGTACTGTCTTGCCTGGCCACTAACCTAACACTGATCTATTAGTAGTTTAGGAAATCATCTCTGTATTTCTGAAGATCTGGAAGACAGAGAGAGAGAGAGAGAGTCTGTGTGTGTGTTTGTGACTGTACGTGTGTGCACAGAGGAAAGAGAATTATGAACTATTTTCTTAGAATAGCTCATTTTTATCTAGAAATCTATACAGGTATTCAGTATACTCTTTTGATAACAGTACCTTAAAAAGAAAATGGAAATTTTAGTAAAGATTTTCCTTACTTGTATTACACAACACCACTTTATAGAGCCAAACTGAAAAGACCCTTGAAAGCAAATATTCTTCTCATCAGATCAGTGATCTGAATTTTTTATTTTCATAGTCGCTTTATTTCAGTTTAGACACTGAAACTGCACAGGTTATTTTCATTTTGAATTTATCATCAAATTCACTTCCTGTTATTGTTATCCCAACAGTAGAGAGAAATGTTTCATTTCCAGAAGTTTTCATTTAACTTAAATAGAAAACAAACTCACATAGATCCACTTAAAAAAAAATAAACATTTCAGTCTGAACACAAACCTGCTTGATTATTAGAACTAGTTTACCTAATAATTTTATAATATTAGTATCACCCTAATTATATCCTTTGGCTGTACCAGGCATGACCACAAGGCCTTTGAAATTCAGATGATGAACTTGGACTGACCCCAGACCATGGGACCCAAGTGGTCTGCAGCTGATTTCGCTGCTAACAGCTGGAGTGGAGCAGTTTCGGGTTCTGCACTGACTCTCCCTTCGGGCTGTGAGGGCTCAAGGCAGTACTTACGTTTCATCTGTGAATGCTATTCCAAAGTACTCCTTTTCCTTCAGATTGAAGTGAGAAGCCACAAGGTCAAGAAGCTCCTTGGCCAACAGCTTGGGCTGCAAGAAGAATACAATGGAAGAAGGGTAAGTGATGAGAGACTGCTTTTCCTAAAATATGCAATCTCAGGTTTCCATAATTTTTTCAATGAAATGTCACAAAGCTCAAGTATTTTGAAGCAAATGATTTTTATAAACCCAAACAAATAGACAATGACACTGATGAGCACACAGCCAAGTCAAGGGTCATCAACAGATAGAGACCTTCTGTTTTGTTTCCTAGAAGGGTTTTTTTTTTTTTAATTGAGATGGAGTCTCGCTCTGTCATCCAGGCTGGAGTGCAGTGGCATGATCTTCGCTCACTGCAACCTCTGCCTCCCGGGTTCAAGCGATTCTCATGCCTCAGCCTCTGGGATTATAGGCATATGCCACCACGCATGGCTTTTTTTTTTTTTTTTGGTTTTAGGAAAGATGGGGTTTCACCATGTTGGCCAGGCTGGTCTCTAACTCCTGGCTTCAAGTGATCCACCTGCCTCAGCCTCCCAAAGTGCTGTGATTACAGACGTGCGCCATCACACCTGGCTAATTTTTGTATTTTTAGTAATCCCAGCTACTTGGGAGGCTGAGGAAGGAGAATCGCTTGAAACTGCAAGGCAGAGGTTGCAGTGAGCCAAGATCACGCCACTGCACTCCAGCCTGGGTGACAGAGTGAGACTCTGCCTCAAAAAAAAAAAAAAAGATATCTGCCAGTCTAAAGAAGCACACCAGAGCGTTAGGCATAAAGTCATGGTAGATGTTTGTATTGTTAACATGTTATTCACCTTGGTCTGTTACTACTGAAGTGACCACAGAACACCAGGCACTGAAGTGGGGGAGGGAGGAAAGGCTGTCTGATGCGGAAACAGGGCCGGAAGAGAAGAGTTATTTCTAAACTAGCTTCCAGGTCATGCATTTGAAAATACATTGCCTCTATGAAAATTACTCCATTCCAAGCACACTCACCAGATATTAGGAAAGTTATTTCATTATCTGTTGGTTTTTTTTTTTTTTTTTGAGATGGAGTCTCGCTCTGTCACCAGGCTGGTGTGCAGTAGTGCGATCTTGGCTCATTGCAACCTCTGCCTCCTGGGTTCAAGTGATTCTCTTGCCTCAGCCTCCCGAGTAGCTGGGACTACAGGTGCGTGCCACCATGCCCAACGAATTTTTGTATTTTTAGTAGAGACAGGGTTTCACCATGTTGTCCAGGATGGTCTCGATCTCTTGACCTCGTGATCTGCCTGCCTCGGCCTCCCAGTGTTGGGATTACAGGCATGAGCCACTGCACCTGGCCGACAGTTGGTTTCTTATTTCACTTTTTGGGTACTGCCATGGACTGAATTATATCTCCCCAAAATGCATGCGTTAAAGCTCTGACATCCAGTGGTATTTGGAAATGGGACCTTTGGGAGACAATTAGGTTTAAATGAGTTTATGAGGGTGGGGCCCCCAAGATGGGATTCGTGTCCTTATAAGAAGAGACACCAGAGAGCCTGCTTCCTCTCTCTGCCATGTGGGGCCAAAATGCAAAGGTGGCCCTCACCAGGAGCTAACCATGCTGGCACCCTGATATTGAAATGACTGTTTAATACAACAGACATTTATTTATTGAATGCCTACTATGTACAGGGCACTGCCCACATGCTGTAGGAGACAGAAAAATAAGCAAGGTGCAGCACAGGCCCATAGGGACCTTAGACTTTTAACAGGGACACGGAGTAAGAGCTAGCGCTGAGTTTAAAAAGCCAAAGAAGATGCTCCACCCTTTTCTGTCTCACTCCTGGGCTCCTGGGTGGCAGCCTCAGGGCCTAGATGACCATCAATTCACTGATGAAAACCACTTAAACTGAAAGAATGGGTTTGAAGCTTCCTCCCCAGCAGACAGGAATGGACAGGAGAACCCAACGTGATAAATCAATACCACCTCATAGTCTATACTTCCATTCATACTGAATTTTGAAAAAGTGAAAAAGCAATCTCTATAACCAACAGGGAATTCAAGGTGATACGTCAGACCCTCCCTCACTCCTGGTGGAACGTCTACTCTGCGAGAATGCAGTGGAGTAAACGTGGCACATCTCAGAAGGTCGCTGATGAATTACGAAGTAGAATGCAAGATGGGTGCTCTTGAAGCTTCCGGTAAATGCTGTGTTTGCCATGGGCTGTGGCCAGCACTAGCTCCACCCCCAGGAAGTATTCGGCTGCCCAATAACAAAGGCTTTGCTGGATCACTTGTGACTATGAGGTAGTGTGGCTGCTTTTTAAATTGCAAGGTAGTGGCCGGGCGCCATGGCTCACGCCTGTAATCCCAACACTTTGGGAGGCCGAGGTGGGCAGATTGCGTGAGGTCAGGAGTTTGAGACCAGCCTGGCCAACATGGCAAAACCTTGTCTCTACTAAAAATAAAACAATTAGCCAGGCGTGGTGGCGTGTGCTTGTAATTCCAGCTACTCGGGAGGCTGAGGCAGAGCTCTTGAACCTGGGAGGTGGAGGTTGCAGTGAGTAGAGATCACGTCACTGCACTCCAGCCTTGGCAACAGAGCGAGACTGTCTCAAAATAAAAATAAATAAGTTGCAATATACATATGCTCCTCGAATTATGATGGGGCTACATCGTGGTAAGCTCATTGGAAGTTGAAAATATTGTAAATCGAAAATACATTTAATACACCTTACCCACCAAACATCACAGCTTAGCCTAGCCTACCTTAAAGGTGCTCTAAACACTGCCACTGGCCTACAGTTGGGCAAAATCATCTAATGTCAAGCCTGTTTTATCATAGAGTGTTGAATGGCTCATGTACTTTATTGAATTCAGTACACTGTAGACTATCAGTTGTTTACTCTTGTGACTGTATGGCTGAGCAGCGCTGCCAGAGCGTATTGTACCGCGTACTGCTAGCCTGGGAAAAGATCAACATTCAAAATTGGAAGTACAGTTTCTACTAAAAGTACATTGCTTTTGCACCAGTGTAAAGTAGAAAAATCATAAGTCAGACCATCATAGGTTAGGGACAGTCTGTGATATAATTTACCTGTCCAAATGATTGCTACCGCTTTCAAAGTAGTCACTGTATTTCTCTGATGCTTGCTATTTCTTGAAACATTTTTGATAATCTTTTGGGTTTGCCCTTGAGGCTTGTGTCAGATTTGTCAACGCGTTTTCACTGGTGATAAATCTTCCTGTGCTCGAGAATGGATTTGATTTTTTTTTTCAAATGCCAAAAGTCACTTAAAGTCAAGTCTAGTGAACAGAGATAGAGGAGGAGGAATGGGTGATTATGCCTGGTCAACCCAGTTTCATAAAATGAAGTGTGACTACAAAGTAATTATTGTGGGTTCTTGGGGATTATGGTGAGAGGTCTGGTCCAAACTTGAAAACAATAAAAATAAGATTTTGTTCTTTTTGAGATTTTAACTTTAAGGCTGGGCACAGTGGCTCTTGCCTATAATCCCAGCACTTTGGGAGGCTGAGGCAGGAGGATCCTTTAAGCCCAGAGGCGATATAGCAAGACCCCATCTCTACAAAAAAAAATTTAAAAATTAGCCAGGCATGATGGCATGCACTTGGGACTAGTCCTAGCTATTCAGGAAGCTCAGACCGGAGGATTGCTTGAGTCCAGGAAATTGAGGCTGCAGTGAGCTATGATCATGCCACTGCACTCCAGCCTGGGCGATAGAGTGAGACCCTGTTTCAAAAAAAAAAAAAAAAAAAAAAAAAAAGAAAGAAAGGGAAAGAGAGAGAGAAAAAAAAGAAAGAAAGAAAGAGAGACAGAAACAGAGAGCAAGAGAAAGAAAGAGAGAGAGAAAAAAAAGAGAGCTAAACTTTAAAGCCTACATCTCAACAGATTTGATCAGAGATACATAAGTTTGCCCAGAAAGAGAAAGAATGATTCCCAGTGCTGGCATAGTTTATCTAGAACATATGTTCATCACTCCATAGAATGATTGGGCCTGAATGGAAGGGGGTAAGTGGAGGCAGGGTGGGAGGTGCAGTTGGGGAAGGGAGATGAACCCAGGAAGCAAACGTGATCTTAGCCAATAGGTGTTGAATATTTGGGTCCCTTACCGGGTGGTAAGGCCTTTTATGTGGCAGAAATGGAGGCTTGGGGTTACTTTAGCTGATCATGTTACATTGAACTCTCCTAATTCCATGCCTCCCAAGGAACACCTACATCCTGGATATGTCCCTCATATATGAACTCATTATCATCCAGAATAGAGATTATCATTCTTTTGCCAAAGAAGATTCTGAGACTGAGAGATACCAGGCAGGCTGTCCTGGGTCTCACAGCCAAGCTGGGATTCAAAACAAGGTTGAGATACACAGCATGGAATATTATTTCGCCCTAAAAAGGAATGAAATCCTGACGTGGATGGAACCTGAAGACATTATGCTAAGTGAAAGAAGCCAGACACAAAAAGACAAATATTGTATGATTGCACTTAGATGAGGTAATTAAACAGGCAAATTCATAGAGACAACAGAATAGAGGTTGTCACGGGCTGAGGTGGTGGCAGATGGGGGGTTATTGCTTAATGGTTACAGCATTTCTGTACTGGATGATGAAAAAGTGTTGGAAATATTAGTGATTGTTACATGACATTGTGTATGCATTTGATGCCACTGAATTGCACATACGAAAATGGTTAAAATGGTGTTTGATGTTACATGTATTTTGACACAATTAAAAAAAAAGGAAAAAGGGGGAAAGGAGGTCTGATAGTTTCAAAGCCCACATGTGTAATCCCTCTGCCACTCTACCTCTGTTGACCCTGCTTCCAGGGTGAGAGCCTAAGGATCGTGCCTCAAGGGCCCTGGCTGAGTGAGGGCTACATGACTCACTTGAAACCAGTGCACTGACATTATGGATTTATACATCAGTACTTTCAACCTGGTTAATGTGAGTCTTCCCCTGAGAATGAAAAATCAGGTTTCTGAGCCTGCAGAATAAAGAGATGGCTTAACACACTGAAGAATTCACCAGAGTAATGGATACCACCATGGAAGCCTTCTGGAGACTGAGTTTTTGCCTTACCATGGTGATATGTCTCTCTGATTTAGCCTGTCACACTACAATAAGAAAACAAGTTTTCTTGGTGACTCATAAACTGAAGTCAAGGAAAAGGCTCTGAGCAGTAGCTGCCTGGCTGGAACAAACTTCATCTTTTCAAATAAACTTTTTCAACAATTGTACCTATCTGGATTTATATCTTTTGTTAAAAAATTTAAAAGGTCAGTCCCATTACTTTACACAACAGTTATTATAGACCATATGTATCAATTTCCAGGAAGAAAAGCCTACATTTATTACTTGCAATTTACAAATGGAGAAGTAAAGGCCGTGAAGAGGGAGAAAATAGATCCCAGAAGATGTTGAGGTTACAACTCCTGACTCTTAGCTGCTTTTAAAGCCACACACATTTTTTCTGCTGTCATGGTGACTGGCAACAGCCCAGAAGGTGGCTGCTCTGTCAATGAGAGTGAGAGTTGATGGATGGGCATGTAGTGAGAGTGAGAAATACACATCATTGTTTCACTGTTTAAGTCACAGAGACATTGGGGGTTGTTTGTCATTGCAGCATAACCTAGCCTATCCTGATTGATTCAGGCACTGAGTCTTTTATTTTCTGTACAGTTGATTTAAAACAATTTGTGGCATCAGCTCCTTGATTTCCTGATCTTGCAAATGAAGACAATATCCCCCGCTGATGTGACAGTGATTAATATACTACATTGTTCTGAAAGTTTCTTAAACTCCTTCAGAGAAAGTTGCTGGGCAAGCAGAAAGCAATCTGCTCTTATGTGCTTTGAAGGGATGTTTACAGAATCCCGCTGAGTATAATTTGCCAATTACTGGTGCTGTAAACATTTGTGGAGCTTTGCAGGGATCGGACTGGGAGCAAGGCCAGAAAGGCAGCTAGTAGCCCAATCGCATTCTATTGGACAATCTGGGCAGGAGCCCAGAGGCCACGTGAGCAAGGCAGCCTGTGCTCCCTGGGTTTGTCAGAATTAGCCTCTTGTGGGCCATCAGCCGTCCTGGCCCTAAGAGGTCATTACATCTAAGACTGGCTTTCTCTTAGCCCATAATTAGCTTTGTTCAATCAAATAGTTTCTCTCTTTTCTTTTTGTATCTCAAAATCTTTTTCCATTGTCCCTCTTAGCTTTTATTTCTCCTGATACCTGACAAATAAAACCTCCTTGCAAACATCCCTCCTTAACATATACTTCTCAGTGGCACCACTCACAGAGCTAATAGGACAGTCTTTCCAACACCAACTGGGCTTAGAAACCTGGGCTTCAGCCATGTGCTTTAGCAAGGAAAGGAAAGCACTGGTTCTAAATACTTAGGGAAGAAAGGAGAGGAGCTCTCAGTCAGTGCTTTGTGGCTCCAGGACCCAGATCTGAGTTCTTGAGAACACTGGATGATTCCAGTGGGAACTGTTCACGTTCCCAGCATATTACAGGGTTCCAGATCAGGTCCTGACTACTTCCTGGCCTGCTTCTTCCAGGCAGGACACGACTAACTAGAATGATCAAAACAGCACTTAACGTGTTGCAGGGCTGTAAAGCGCTCTAGGCACACTGATATGGTTTGGCTGTGTCCCCATCCAAATCTCACCTTGAATTGTAATAATCCCCAGGTGTCAAGGGCGAGGCCAGGTGGAGATAACTGAATCATGGGTGTGGTTCCCCCATCTATTCTGATGGTAATGAATAAGTCTCACAAGATCTGACGGTTTTATAAACGGGAGTTCCCCTGCACAAGCTCTCTTGCCTGCCGCCATGTAAGATGTGCCTTTGCTTCTCCTTTGCCTTCCGCCGTGATTGTGAGGCCATGTGGAACTGTGAGTTCACTAAACCTCTTTCCTTTATAAATTACCCAGTCTCAGGTATGTCTTTATTAGCAGCATGAGAACAGACTAATACACACACCCACATGACAACATCCTTTCAGGTGACTTCCATGAGCCCTTCAGGTAAATTCTGGGGAAAGGAATTCAAGGATGAGGTAGCACCCAGGCACCTCACCAATTCCTCACAGAATACTATATTCCACAGTATACTATACTACATACAGTATCAAGCTCTAAATGCTAGCCTGGTATTTACCATCACTTATATATTATGCCACCAACTTAAACTTGACATGTGTCTATCCAGATAGATGATCTTAGACAAATTACGCAAGCTCTCTGGGCCTCAGTTTTCTCATCTGTACAATGATGGACTACTGTACCATAAAAAGAATTCCTATACTAAGACATTATTTATGTTATTATTATTATTGTTTTTAGATACAGGGACTTATTCTGTTGCCCAGGCTGGAGTGCAGTGGTGCCATAATATCTCACTGCAGCCTCCAATCCTGGGATCAGTGATCCTCCAGCTTCAGTCTCCTGAGTAGGGGGGGACTACAGGTATGTACCACCATGGCTGGCTAATTAAAAAAAAATTTTTTTTTGTAAAGATGGATTCTTTCTATGTTGCCCAGGCTGGTCTTGAACTCCTGGCCTCAAGTGACCCTTTTTCTTTGGCTTCCCAAAGTGCTGGGATGACAAGTGTGACCCAATGCACCCAGCCTTTATTCCTTATGTTATTATTAAATTTAGCTTCTTCCTTTCCTACAAACGATCCTGCCTTCCTAAGAGTGTTATTCACCCATTCGAAAAAACTTGAACACCATCTGCATCCTTCATGATCTCTTGAATCTAGTCAGTTAATATATCCTGTCTTTCTTATATAATTTCAGGTAAGTTACTAAACCTCTCTGTGCCTCAGTTTCCTCTCAGCTATTAAATGAGGATAATGACTATACCCAGGTCACAAGGCTGTTTTGAGAATTAAATAAATTAGTCTGATCTATATGAAGTACTTAGAATATGCCTGGCATGGAACGTTACTTGTATTCATTATTTCAGATCCTAATCATAAATTATTTAAAAAATTCCATGTATGGCCAGGCACGGTGGCTCACGCCTATAATCCCAGGACTTTGGGAAGCCGAGGTGGGCAGATCACCTGAGGCCAGGAGTTTGAGACTAGCCTGGCCAACACGGTGAAACCCTGTCTCTACTAAAAATACAAAAAAATTAGCTGGGCGTGGTGGCTCATGCCTGTAATCCCAGCTACTCGAGAGGCTGAGGCACGAGAATCGCTTGAACCTAGGAGATGGAGGTTGCAGTGAGCCGAGATCGCACCACTACCCTCCAGCCTGGGTGACAGAGTGAGACTCTGTCTCAAACAAAACAAAACAAAACAAAACAAAATCCCCACTCCATATAGTATCAAGTTCTAAATGCTAGCCTGGTATTTAAGACCACCCTATGAACCCAGCCCCAGTTTACCTATCCAACCTCACTTTTGCCCAGTTCCCTACAAAAATATCCATTTCTGTTCAATCTATTTGATTGAACTAAAGAAAACACTGATCTCATTTTTATTTCCAAATCTTTGTACATTCCATTCTCCCCCTCCCCCTTCCCATTTAAATTTTATCCTGCTCAAAGCCCACTTCCTCCATGAAGCCCTCCCTGACCATCCTGCCTACAAATGCTCTCTCCCTCCTCTGGATTTCTACAGCACTCAACACAGGCAGCTTAGTCACACTTGGCACATGTGCTCTTGTGTTGTGGTAAACTTTGTGTGACATGATTTGTTACACTCTATAGCAGGTTGAATGGTGGTCCCCAAAAACATATGTACCCATCCCAGTCACTGGAACCTGTGAGTATTACCTTTCATCACAAAAGACGTGATCCTTGGGAGGAGGAACTAATCCTGGTGGGCTCTAAGTGCCATTATATTGTCTCCTTTTTTTTTTTTTTTTTTCTGAGATGGGGTCTGGAGTGCGGGCTGGAGTACAGTGGCACGATCTCAGGCTGGAGTGCAGTGGCATGATCTCAGCTCACTGCAACCTCCACCTCCCAGGTTCAAGCAATTCTCATGCCTCAGCCACCCAAGTAGCTGGGATTATAGGCATGTGCCACCACACCCAGCTAATTTTTTTGTGTTTTTAGTAGAGATGACGTTTCAACATGTTGGCCAGGCTGGTCTCGAACTCCTGAGCGCAAGGGATCCACCTGCCTTGGCCTCCCAAGGTCCTGGGATATATTGCCTCCTTATAAGAGAGATACAGAGGGTTTTTTAAAAACAGACATACAGGAGAGAAGACAGAGGCAGAGACCTGAGTGATGAGTGATGAAGACACAGGCGAGGAACCCCAGTCACTAGAAGCTGGAAGAGGTGGGGAAGCGATTGTCCCCTCCAGCTGCCTCCAGAAATTTGGGAGAGTGAGTTTCTGTTATTTTCCAGCCATCAGGTTTGTGGTTATTTGTTATGGCAGACACAGGAAACTCATACACCCTCAGATGGAAACCCCGAAGACCTCGTTTCCGTGTAATTGAAGGGAACTCAGCACTGGTTGGTTGTGACATGAGTGATCTCAGTGCGAAGCCTGCATTGACATTGGTGTTCTCTCTCCACTGTCCCTGTGGCACTCTGGGCTGGGAAGGCAGGCGGGCCTTGGTCTCAGCCGACCTTGGGTCACTCCATGGTGAAGCAGGCCCCTTAAGCTTCTTCTTGTTAACCTATTCCCTTGGGGCATCTCACAGATTCTAAGTCAAAAGAGTTGCCACTTCTGAGTTAATTGTATCTCAAAAAAAAAAAAAAAATTCAAACAGCAAACAAGCAGTAACCATCAGGTGACTCCCATCTGTGCTTTGGGAGGAACCACGGTCTCCTCTGAAGAGTGACACTCTCAGCTCCTGCTCTTCGCCAAGGGTGTTTTTTGACAATCCCTTTGTCACTGCAGAGCCCCCAGTGACTGCTAAGCTGCCAGGGTTTGGACACGCATGGCCGGATGGCACAGCCACAGCCGCCGCTCTGTGCCCAGCACTGCCTGCCCATCCACTCTGCCCGGGACCCCGGGACCTGCTGGATGGGTGGCTCCCTGCCCTTTAGGAGTGGGTGCAGCTGTGGGATGGCAGACAGGGGCTGTCTGGGAGTGACTGTGAAACGTGGCCCGTCTGCCCCCATCTCTCTGGACAGGAGGGGCCGGGGTTAGCTTTTCGGAAAACCCAGAGGGAAAGAGCAGGGGAAGGAGCGCAGCTTTGAATAAATGAGCCTGAGCAAGCTGCCGGGTCTGAAGCCTGGGCTGTCACTGTGTGTCCCTCTCCATCCCCATGGGGGCTCTGAGCCCAGCAATGGCTCAGCGGCTGCTCATTATTCCCGGGGAGGGGAAGCTGCTGCGGGGGGTGCATGAGGTGACTCTGTGCAGCTCTGTCCACTGTGTGGCCAGCAGGTCTGGGCGGCGACTCCCCTCCTTGTCGCCCTGCTGCTTAGCTGGGAAGGCTGGTTTCCTTCCTGCCTCTCCAGCACAGCCCTGGGTTCTGTGGCAGGGGACACAGGGAGGCTACTTCCTGTAGGCAGACGGGTGTGAAGAACAATGGAGTTGCACTGTCTTGGCTCTCAGGCACCCAGAACAGGTAGGAGAGACCCCGAAGCCAAGATCAGAGACCCGCCTGCCAGAGGTGGCATCTCTTTACCCAGAGGTCCCTGCCCAGCCTGAACCGGGATCCATTCGTGCACATGAGACAAATCCTTTACCTCTAGTCTAGGAGTGACAGTGGCATCACATCGCTGCAGCAGAACAGCAAAGCTGCCAACAACACTGCCCACCTGTCCCCGCCTGCAGCTGCTACTTCACATGAATTCATGCAGCCAGCCCTAGAAACCAGAAACACCTGAAGTAGACACCAGGATTGCCCCCATGTGATAGAGGGAACTGAGATACAGCCAGAGAAGCAACTCGCCAAATTCACACAGCGAATCAGTGGGAGAACTGAACCGCGGCACACAGGTGGGCATGGGTCACCCAGGATTATAGGAAGAGCCAGAGAGACCATCTGCCCAGCCCACTTCATGACGGCAGCAGAAAGGAAAGCCTAGAGGAGGCCAGAAACCTGTCCAGGACGAGGGTGGGCACCTTGGTTACCAGCATAGGTGAGGTGGCCCCGAAGTGCCCGCCACACCTCCATCCTTTGCCCCCGCTAATGTTACACTTAGGGGACAGAGCAGGTCTCGAAGATCCGAAGCAGGAAGGAAAGAAACAAAGTACATCAAGGAAAGGGGTAAAAGTGGTCACTGACAGAAATGGAAACGATATATATATATATACATACACACACACATATGTACACACATAGATCTATATGTATGTATCTATTTGTGATGTACAACATGATGTTTTCATGTATATGCACATGTGGGCTGACCCATCAAGCTAATAAACATATCCATCACCTATCATACTTACGATTTTTGTAGCGAGAACATTTCCAAACTACTCTCAGCAATTTTCAAGCATTGAAGACATCGTTATTAGCTACAATAACCACGATGTACAATAGATCTCCTAAACAAAGCTTTGCTTGCTTTTAAATTCTGGGGTTCAGATCTAGCAAATAACAGCCTCTCCTGAAGTCAAAAGCCAAGCCACCTTTTCTAAATGCAATAGAATTTTGCCAGACAGTAAGTTCCTGGAAGGGAGGGATCACATTTGATCGACATTTGTGGACTTACACCCCAATACAGTCCCTGACACACAGTAGGTGCCTAATGAAAGTTTCCTATTGGTAGAATGGGACAGAATAAAGGGTGGCATATGCAGTTGTTCTACCACGAGACAGGATGGAACCTGGACACCCTCTTGAGCTGGTTTGAAGGAGAGATCTGCTAGGCAGAGACTGCGGTGCTGCACAGAGCCAGATGGGACCAGGTGTCGCATGCTCACTGATGCCAGAGAGCCACTGGGTTTCAATCAGATCACACAGCTCCAGGCAGCCATGAAGGGGCCTGTGACAGATACTTGTGTCCCCAGGAAAGGATATGTCATGTCCCTATTCCCAAACCCTATATCTGTGCCCTCTTCTTCCTCACCCAACTCCTCCCCAAACCAACAAAGTCACAGCTCCCTTTAATAGCTCCTTCTCTCTCCCCTCCTTCTCTCTCTCCTTCCAAGTGACTCTGCCATTTAACCCAGGGGTGAGGTCTCCCTGGGAGCAATGCTTTTAGTCTCCCCATTTGTCCCTCTCCTTCCCCTTTATGCTTTTATTCCCTGGGTGTCATCTTCTTATTTCCACATAGTTTCTTCCATATTTTCCTAAGATGCAGTCTGGTCCCTGTGTTCTCTGAAAAGTTGGGACTGATACCCATGTGGGAGGGAGGCTTTCTCATCCATGCATTTGAATGATGCCCAATGGGAAGGCTTTGACAGGCGTACATAATGATTGCTCCTCTAGAAATGCAAAGTGCTCACAAGCCAGCCAGCCGGCTGGGGAGCCTGCTCTATTCATGATCCCCGGGGGACTCTGGGAGGCGGGCAGGTGTTCATTAGGGAGGCCTCCTGATGAATAGAGCAACCCCCAGACTCCAGCCTGCTCAGGGCAATGTCACCAGGACTGTGAGTCTAGCGTGGCTCCCCTTGGCAAGCCTCTCTGCATTAATGAAATGATAACTGTTTCGGTAAGGAGAAAACAGAAAAAGACAGGCAGTGCTCAACCTGCCTCTGCCAGATAGGACTGCCAAGTCTGCAGCCCAAATTCTGAGATATTTATAGAAAATATGGGGATGATAAACGAAGCAACATCTTGGGATTCCAAGCTCCATCTTCCATGGCCATCTGGTCTGCCACTTCCATTTTTTTGTTGTTGTTGTTAAAAGAAAGCCTGCCCTGCAGACTCTGTGATGACCCCATCTTGTCCTGCAGTGAGTAATAAATCACTATTTCTGATAAAAGCTGCCCGTGCACTCACTGGGAGGTGAGGTATGTTCTATAAGATCAAATGACACATTGGCAGATTGGTACCTTTCCACGGGGCCAAATGACACCAGGACCAACTCAAACTAGATATCTTCATGACACTGCACACTGAATTATTCCATTTGCTCGATGTTCAAGGAAGAGCAGAGAAGAGTGTCTGTCAACCAAGAACACAGGGACCAGCCACTTGCTACTTTTCCAGTGTAACGGACGGAAGGTGTGGCTCGTATGACATCTGCTATCCTCAGCTGTGGCTGGCATTCGAAGACTGTGTCTCTATTGCCATCAGACTGGAAAGGGAAAGCTTGCCTTTTAGCAGGATGGTGGTGAGAGCCAAGTTCAGAGGGGGTTAAAAAATAATAATATATCACTTCCAAGATTAAGTTACAGAAAAAATATTAGTACAGTCAACCCTGCATATCCACAGGTTCTGCATCTGTATATTCAACCAACCATGGATCAAAAATACTTAAAAACAAAAAAACCAGGCTGGGTGCGGTGTCTCCCGCCTGTAATCCCAGCACTAAGGGAGACCAAGGAGGGTGAATCATGAGGTCAGGAGTTCAAGACCAGCCTGGCCAACATGGTGAAACCCTATCTGTACTAAAAATACAAAAAAAAAAAAAAAAAAAAAATTAGCTGAGCATGGTGGCACGTGCCTATGATCCCAGCTACTCAGGAGGCTGAGGCAGAATTGCTTGAACCCAGCAGGTGGAGGTTGCAGTGAGCTGAGATTGCACTACTACACTCCAGCCCGGGTGACAGAGCAAGACTCTATCTCAAAACAAAAAATAATAAATAAATAAAGATAAAAATAAAAACCAATACACCAATAATAAATAACACAACAATATAGTATAACAACTATATAGCATTACATCACACTAAGTATTAAGAGTAACAGCTGGGTACGGTGGCTCACACCTGTAATCCCAGCCCTTTGGGAGGCTGAGGTGTGTGGAACACTTGAGGTCATGAATTTGAGACCAGCCTGACCAAAATGGGGAAACCCCGTCTCTACTAAAAATACAAAAAAATTAGCTGGGCCTGGTGGTGCATGCCTGTAATCAAAGCTACTCAGGAGGCTGAGGCAGGAGAATCGCTTGAACCCGGGAGGCAGAGGTTGTAGTGAGCCGAGATTGTGCCATTGCACTCCAGCCTAGGTGACAGAGCAAGACTCTGTCTCAAAAAAAAAAAAAAAAAAAAAAGAGTAATCAAGAGATGATTTCAAGTATACAGGAGGATGTGTCTAGGTTATATGCAAATGACATCACACTTTGCAGTCATTTTTCCCTCATTCCTGGGGGACACTTTCCAAGACTCCCAGTAGATACCTGAAACCATGGGTAACACCAAACCCTATATATACTGCTTTTTGTCCTATACATACATACCTATGATAAAGTGTAATTTTTAAAGTAGGCAGAGTAAGAGATTAACAACCATAACCAATAATAAAATACAACAATTCTAACAGATGCCAGCATCACTACACTTGCACTTTGAGGCCATTATGAAATCAAGTAAGGTTGACTTGAACACAAGTGCTGCCATCCTGAGACAGTTGATCAGATCACTGAGATGGCTACTAACTGACTAAAGGTGGGGAGCGTCAACACTAGGGGTCCCCAAACCCCGGGCCGCAGACCAGTACTGGTCCGTGGCCTGTTAGAAACTGGGTTGCACAGCAGTGGGCAAGCGAGCATTACCACCTAAGCAGCAGTATTAGATTCTCCCGGGAACCCGAACCCTACTGTGAACTGTGCATGCGAGGGATCTAGGTTGTATGCTCCTTATGAGAATCTAACTAGTGCCTGATGATGTGAGGTGGAACAGTTTCATCCTGAAACCATCCTTGCCCCTCCCCACCCTGGTCCATGGAAAAACTGTCTTCCATGAAACTGGTCCCTTGTGCCAAAAAGCTTGGGGATCACTGGTCTATACAGTGTGGCAATGCCAGACAAAGGGATGATTCTTGTCCTGGGCAGGGTGGAGCAGGACAGCATGAGATCTCCTCATGCTACTCAGAATGGCACCCAATTTAAAACCTACAGATGGTTTATTTCTGGAATCTTGTATTGAATCATTTCAGACTGTGGATAACTGAAACGTGGAAAGTAACACCGCAGATAAGAAGGAACTACTGCATCTAACGGACTTGAGCATCTGATGATTTTGGTATCTTAGCAGGGTCCTGCAACCAATGCCCTGTGGATGCCAAGGGATAACTGTGCTGTGATTCTCCTAAAACGTGTCTGTTTCATGGAATCTGGGTGGTGAATTTGTAATCGGCCTTCAGGGCTCTGAAAGCCAGTTCTACCCGATGTGTACCTTGATCAGCATCTGCCTCACTTTGAACATTGCAACAATAACCTCTACCTCCCAAAGCTGTCACGAGGACTCAATAAATGATCATTCACAAGGGACCTGGTACATGAGAGGTGCTCAGTAAATGAGGGTTCCCCCTTTCTTCTTAATCAGTAACTGAATCCCTATTAAAATTATCCCCTCCTCACTTTGACAAAGACCTTCTCTGATCAGAATCTAAATACCCTTCAGGGTGAGCTGTCATCCTTCATCTCGGGAACCATGAATAAATCATCACTACACGGTGAGGGGAATAGAACGCAGGCCACTTCCCTTGGAATTAAACTTATTTGAGCAGCCTTGCCCTACACAGCATACTTTCTTATTCCCAGTGTCTGCTCAGAAATACCCGCTGCATCTACTATAGGATTTCTCCTCCTTGCACCTGTCTCTGCCTATTGGTTCTTTGGGGTTAAAATTCCATTTATTGGCCAGAAGAAAAAGAAGTCCCTCTCCGGCCCCAGTGATACGCCCAGAGACATGGCACTGGCTTTTCATTTAAGTTGGAAGTTCCCTAAGTGCTCTCCCCTGTGAATCCTCTCCCTAAAGCGTTACCTCCCCATGGCTCTTGTGGATGACTGGCAGGTGCATGTTAGAGAGATACATTTTGCTCAGCTGATGATGTCGTTTTCGATACAATTAAAAAGACACCCTTACTGGGCTAGAAGAGTAATGAAAAAGTACAGTACCGATACTGCTCTCCCGGGAGGCTAAAGAGGGAAGATCAACTCTGGGCTGAAAAATATTTATTCCTAAACAGCATTTTCATGAAAGTCAGGCGAGCAAGGATGTAAAAGCCACACAGCCCCTTCCCTTCTGGCATGTAATTAATGGATGAAAACAGACACGTGTCCTCGGGTCCAAAGAAAACTTGAGTCTGTAACACCCTCCATCCTGGACTGAAAATATTAATTTATTCTATATTCTACATACTTCCAAAGGTTTAGAGGAGGTTTACGGAATTCAAAATAGCACAGAATAGGGGGATTAGGAACTTAAGTAAGACAAAGTCCATTGAAGACGGTGAGGCATTTATGAGACAAATGAATTTCTACTGCAGGGCACAGAATTGGACTCTGTGGAGGGAGATCTCGCGAGGTTACACAAGCTTCGTTAGCAGACAAAAGAAACGGGTTAGCTTTTTCCAAGAAGTACACATAAGGGGTATCAGGCATCATGGCTTCAACACAGTTTCAGAGAAAACCAGAAATGTGGCTGGCATGAAATGTCTCATGGTCTAGCCCCCAGCAAAGCCCAGCACACAAGCACGATCTGCGCCGTTCCCACAGCCTGGGGCAGATTTCAAGCCCATCTCCCGAAACCCGACAGGATATTCTGGGTGAGACCTGATGTTAGACATTTACATAAGCGAATTTGGCCTGAAATTTTGGAGGCGATGTTTTATTAGGTTTTTAACGCATGCTAATGTCGGCCATTAGGCAGCTTGGCACTGACATTTTGTCTTGATTCTGAAGCCAAACCACATAATAAATATGAAGTCAGTCTCAATTCAGGCAAAGCGAAACAGCCTCCTGCAGACTGATAAGCCAAGAGGTAGGAATGTTCAGAAAATCACGGTCAAGAAAGCAAAAGCAGATGAGCTGAGCCAAGGGCCCTGGGATCTGAGAGAGGGGTTCGGAGGTTCCGGCAGTCTGTAAGTCTGCCAGGAAGCAAGGAATGGGCTAGATCTCCAAGCCTACCCCCAGGAGATTGGAGGGTGAGGCCCGCACGCCAGGAGGAGTGGGAGAGGAGGAGGGAGAAGGGGCCCCTCTGCTCCTGCCTGCTTCGGGGAGCCCTGCTCTTTAATGCTGGGCTCAACTGCTGTCTGGCTGCTCCGAGCCCCTTGGGCTCGAAGCCCCTCCCCTGTCTCTACTGCCCAAATACCATTTATGCAAGACCCCGCTCTGTAGCCCCTCTGCAGAGAGAGCTGCCTTGCTCAGCTGCTCATGGCGGGGCTCTCAGAGTGCTCCAAGCTCCAGCAGGCCTCGTCTGAGGCACTGTCCTACCACATTTCCATCTTTTTTTCTAAATCCATGCCTTTTCAAGGATGGCAACATCTTGAAAGCAGGGATGGTATTATCCACATCTCTTTTTTTCTTATTTCTGTACATTGAAGTGGTACAAGTGCAGTTTTGCTACATGGATATACTATGCAGTGGCAAAGTCTGGGCTTTTAGTGTATCCATCACCCAAATAGCATCCGTTGTACCCATTAGGTCATTTCTCATCCCTCACCCCCTCCCACACTTTCATGTCACCAATGTCTATTATTCCACACTCCACGTCCACGTGTGCACTTTAAGTGAGAACATGTGTATTTGGCTTTTTGTTTTTGAGCTATTTCACTTAATGACTTCCAGTTCCATCCACGTTGCTGCAAAAAACATGATTTCATTCTTTTTGATGGCTGAATACTATTCCATTGTATATGTATACCATGTTTTCTTCTTTCTTTCTTTCTTTTTTTTTTTTTTGAGACGGAGTTTCACTCTTGTTGCCCAGGCTGGAGTGCAATGGCACCATCTTGGCTCACTGCAACCTCCGCCTCCTGGGTTCAAGCAATTCTCCTGCCTCATACTCTCGAGTAGCTGGGATTATAGGCATGTGCCACCATGCCTGGCTAATTTTGTATTTTTAGTAGAGACAGGGTTTCTCCATGTTGGTCAGGCTGCTCTTGAACTTCTGACCTCAGGTGATCCGCCCGCCTTGGCCTCGCAAAGTGCTGGGATTACAGGCGTGAGCCACTGCACCAGGCCACCACGTTTTCTTTATCCAAGTGTCCATTGATGGACACTTAAGTGGATTCCATGTCTTTACTATTGTGAATAGTGCTGTGATAAACATACAAGTGCAGGTATCTTTTTGATATAATGATTTATCTTCCTTTGAGTAGATACCCAGTAATGGGACTGCTGGGTCAAATGGTTCTTTGGTTTTTAGTTCTCTGAGAAATCTCCATACTGTTTTCCATAGACGTTGCATGAATTTGCATTCCTACCAACAGTGTATAAGCATTCCCCTTTCTCCACATCCAAGCCTCACCCAAATGGTGAGTGTTAAATGATGGCCTGGATGGATCAATGAATGAAGGAGTGAATGGTGAGGTGGAATAGGATTTTAGCAGGAGAAGCTTTCACATTGATAAACAAAACGAAAAACATTCTTCCGGCAGGGCATGGTGGCTCACACCTCTAATCCCAGCACTTTGGGGGTCCGAGGCAGGAAGACTCCTTGAGGCCAGGAATTCGAGACCAGCCTGGGCAACAAAGTGAGACCCCATCTCCACAAAAAATAAAAAAATTAGCTGGGTGTGGTGCCGTGTGCCTGTGGTCCCAGCACAGGAGTTTGAGGCTGCTGTGAGCCATGATTGTGCCACTGCACTCCAGCCTGGGCAACAGAGTGAGGTCCCATCTCAAAAAAAGGCAAAAAGCAAAAACCAGTGTTCCCTTGAGTTCTGTTCCCACGTCCAAGCCCTTCTCAATCTTCACAGGAGCCTTCAGTGACTTCATATGTCCTGCTGGTTCTAACTCCTGCTCAATTCAATGCTTCCTAATGCTAGGGATGCCTTCTCTCTCAGTAGGTTTCAGGGCTGTCTTTCACCACTGGAAACCTCTATTTGTAGATATGGGTGCAGCCTAGGTCCATCACCTTTAGCCCCAACCACCCTTAGTAAGTGGAGCTGAACATGTGCAGGGAAGACCCATCTGTGGGAATTCAGGAGAGCCAGGAGAAAGGCATGGATCCCCATCTTTGCTTCTGTCACCTGCCTGACTCTTCTTGCCATAAGTGTTTCACCAAAATAAATCGGGGGCCTGGCCAGGCCACTGGAAACACTGACCTTGAAGACTTTTCAGGAAATGATTTGCATGCAGTGCAGAAGACCTCTGACCCCTTCCTGTCGCTGGCACCTGATCGGATCCTAGCAGTGACCTCACCTGGGGATTTGACTGTGTGCTTCCCCACATGCCCTAGCTCTCTCTCTCTCTCTTCCTTTCTCTTAGCCTTACATGTTCTCTCTGGAGGAGATAACGCGCTTTACATTCATAACAGTGTGTCAGTCTGCAGAGAGAGAAATCATCTAAGGCCATGACCTCACTGCCACAAGTGTCACTGACTGCCAGGCAGAGCATCCATCGGGCAGGGCGCTGTCCCTCCTCGGCCCTCCTTCCCTCCATTTGCAGGAGGAAGGGTCACTACCATCCAGGTCACAGGCACAAAAGAGATTTTGTTGTCTGGGCTGCTGCTTTTCCAGCCCCTCTGACAGACTCCAGAAGGAGTCAAGGAATTGGGAAGGCGACAGCGTTAGAACAAGAAGGTGAAAAAACAGCAAGCATGCATCTTTCTCCCAGAGCTTCTCCAAAGCCAAACTATAGACTCTGAATGAGCCCTGAGCCAAGATGAGAGGTCAAGGTTCTTGTCCTGACTGTGGGCCACAGAGTTCTATGGTTTTAACAGAGAAGGTGGGATCCATAGCCCACTTCCAGTGGCTCCCTTTAACCAGTGCTGCCCCCTGCAGAACCAGCACAAGGCGACACGTTAATGTAACCCCAGCATTGCCATTGAAGGCTTTATGGGAGGCCTTGCCCTACTTACCAGAGAAAGCAAAGCGGGAGGTGTAGAGAAATGGGAAGCCTGACCATGTATGTTCATGTTCCATGTCACGCAGCATCCCTGTGTGTGTGTATGTGTGCACAGGAGTACTTGGTGTCATAAGTTTTGCTTATTATTATTAGAGACAGAGTCTCGCTCTGTCACCCAGGCAGGAGTTCAATGGCACATTCTCGGCTCACTGCAACCTCTGCCTCCCGGGTTCAAGTGATTCTCATGCCTCAGCCTCCCAAGTAGCTGGGATTACAGGCACCCACCACCAGGCCTGGCTAATTTTTGTATTTTTGGTAGAGACAGGGTTTTGCCATGTTGGCCAGGCTGGTCTTGAGCTCCTGACCTCAAGTGATCCACCTGCCTTGGCCTCCCAAAGTGCTAGGATTATAGGTGTGAGCCACCATGCCTGGCCAATTTTGCTTTTTAGAAATCACTCCAGACCTGACACTTCTTAGCTAGACAAAGAGGCACACACACACAGAGAGGCAGGACGCTCACTTCTACAGTCCCTGTGGAGTTTTAGACCAAACGCAATGCCTCTGACCTTCTTTGGATGACATCAACTTTACCGGTCTTCATCTGGGGACCTGGGCATCAAATCCCAGCCTGAAGATCCCAGGATTGGCCAGGTATGGTGGTGTATACCTGAGGTCTCAGCACTTTGGGAAGTTGAGGCAGGAGGATTGCTTGAGCGTAGGAGTTTGAGGCCTGCAGTGAGCTATGATTGCACCACTGCACTCTACCCTAGGTGACAGAGCAAGGTCCTGTCTCTAAAACAAATAAAATAAGAACTTAAGATTGCTGTTAGGAAACAAGAAGGCTTTGAAGTCACAGACTTGGACTGGCATTAAGGTTTTCTGAACTGTTGTGGGATCAGGACCCAGTAGCTTCACTTCCCAGAGTTTCAGCTTCTTTTCTGTAAAGTGGACATCATATCTCCAACTTTCTGGACACCATGGAGTTAAATAAGATGGTGTATGGGACATGTAACTCAGTTCTTGACACATAATTATTACTTACTGCTTGTTAATTCCTTCCACACGTCCACTGTGCATTTCCCTTCCCCATGCCAACCTCTTAACAACATCCTCATTACATCCTTATCCTGCTTCCTTTTTGGGTAGGAGATCTCCCAGTTGCCATTGTCTGGGAACACCCAGGCATTCACCGGGGGAGAGGCTGAGCTACTCCAAAATGGAGACAGTGCTGGGTGGACTCCTGCCTCTATCAGAATTCATCCAGGCCAAGAGCTCAGGGCTTTTTTAGCCAAACAACAGCAATCTCCTGCTGGCACGTAATCTTCAAGACTTTCACTTCCTCTGTCAGAGTGGAGGGAAAAATCAAACAGAACAAAAGCAAAATGAAAACCCTGGCCTGGACTTCCATTCTAATGTGCATGAGTGAGGTGGGCTCTGATGATCAATTACACCAGCAGAACCAATGAATTACACCAAGAGAACCGAGTTGCCGGCCCAGCTCACCGGGGGTGAACTCAGACACTGCTTTTCCTGCCTGCTTTCGGCTGCTCCCTCTCGGCCACTCTTCCAAGCTGCATCCCAAGCTGTCCTTTCTAGCTGCTTGATTGAAGTGCCTTTCCCGTGTGTCCACAGCAATACCAGCATCAAGGATTGTCCACTGCCCTCTTAGGATTCCTTCCTCCAAACAGACCCTCGTGCTTCGTCCAGAGTGAGAGGTTTCAGAACAGGAAGCAGGAGGTCTGTGCGGAAATGTCACCTGGATCTTCTAAATTAGTGATTTCAGCCTTGCGAGCACATTAGAATCAGCGGGGCAGTTTAAAAAGCCAGAGATGCCTGGGGCACCCTCGGGATTCCGACTTGATTGGTCTTGGGTGGGTCGAGGAATCTGTGGATTCTTTTTTCTTTTTCTTTATTTAGAGAAAGGGTCTCACTCTGTCACTCAGGCTGAAGTACAGTGGTACAATTATAGCTCACAGCAACCTTGAACTCTTGGGATCCTGCTAGGAAGCTGGGAATGGCCTAGATCTCCAAGCACACCCCTAGGGGACTAGAGGGTGAGGCCTGCAGGCCAGGGGGTAGGTGGGAGTGATCCTCCCACCTCAGCCTCCGAAGTAGCTGGGACTAGAGGTGAATGCCACCACACCCGGCTAATTTTTAAATTTTTTATAGAGACAGGGTCTTGCTATGTTGCCCAGACTGGTCTTGAACTCCTAGCCTCAAGCAATCCTCCCACCTCAGCCTCCTAAAGTGGGAATCGGTTGATTCTAATGAGTGCAACTAGGAATGAGCATCTGGAAAGAATCACTGTGTTGTGGGGAAATGCATATTTGCGATGTAATTAGAATGCTGATGCCTTTCCGTGTACAGTCTGCCTTCACACATATGTCTCCCTGGATTCAGAACAGTATTTATCGAGCACCCACTCGTGCTGGGTAGGGTGATGGGTGCCATGGATCTGCCATAGGAAGCCATGGTCCCTGACTGTATTAGACTGTTCTCACATTGCCAATAAAGACATACCTGAGACTGGGTAATTTATAAAGAAAAAGAGGTTTAATGGACTCACAGTTCCATATGGCTGGGGAGGCCTCACAATCATGGTGGAAGAGCAAGAGAAGTCTTACATGGTGGCAGGCAAGAGAGAGCTTGTGCAGGGGAACTCCCATTTATAAAACCATCAGATCTCATGAGATTTACTTACTACCATGAGAACAGTATGGGGGAAACCGTCCCCAGGATGCAATTATCTCCACCTGTCCCTGTCCTTGACACATGGGAATTATTACAATTCAAGGTGAGATTTGGGTGGGAACACAGCCAAACCATATCACCAACCTTCAGGAGCTCACAGAGTGGCCACATAACTCCTGACATTCATGGGGCATCTGCCCTGTGCCCGGTGGTTAAGGGCCCAGATTTGGGAGCTCCTTACTGACTGTGTGGCTTCAGGCAGGTTAAATGAACCTGTCAATACAATATCAGTACCTGCTTCATTGGAGCGTTGTGAGGATCAAAAGCCTTCTAACAGAGAAAGCCCTTAGAACAATGCCTAGCATCTCGTAAGTCTTTACAAGAGCCCACTAATCTATACAGAATTGCAGTTAATCATCTCAACAACACTATGAGGCAGATGTTATTGTTATGATCATTCCCATATTAAAGGTCACCCGGCTATGACATAGTGGAGCTGGGCCTCAAAGCCAGGTAGTCTGACCCAGAGGCAGGGTCTGGGCGCTTAAAAGTTAAGTCCAAAGTGGGTGCAGAAGGAGACATGTCCTCCTCCTTGGGAATGTGTAAGCTGATTTGAAAAACACCAAGCAGGCCAGGCGCAGTGGCTCACGCCTGTAATCCCAGGACTTTGGGAGGCCACGGGGGAGGTGGGTGGATCACCTGAGATCAGGAGTACAAAACCAGCCTGGCCAACATGGCGAAACCCTGTCTCTACTAAAAATATAAAAATTAGCTGGGCACGGTGGTGGGTGACTGTAATTCCAGCTACTTGGGAGGCTGAGGCAGGAGAATCGCTTGAACTTGGGAGGTGGAGGTTGCAGTGGGCTGAGATTGTACCCTTGCACTCCAGCCTGGGCAACAGAGTAAGACTCCATCTCAGAAAACAACAACAACAACAAAACAAAACAAAAACCACCACCAACAACAAAACAAAACAAAACCAAACCAAAAAAACAAGCAGCCAGGCAGCCTAACCAGTTCTCCTAAGAAACCGGTCTCTGGACACAAATTAGTCCCGTCTTCCCTAAAATAAAACCCGGCCTGCAGACATGAGCACAGTCCTTTGTGCTCTTCTCCAGGAGGGAGAAAAATGGTGAGATATCAAGCCCCTTCCCCCGGAGGCTTCTTGGAGTTCCTCTAAGTATTAATCTCTGAATAGTCAAAGGATACCAGAATTTGAAAGCCTGACGTTAGAAAGAAAACTTTTGAAGAACTGACTTCATCCCTCGGGGCAGAGGGAAGACGAAATTGATGCGTCTGAAATTTCTGGTCCAGAGAGTCATCTTCAGCATTACAAAGCACGTCAGGAGAACAAGGCACGGGGCTCCACAGGGGGTGAACAGGGAACTGAGACCAGCCTGTGTTGCCATGGGACACATTTCCAGGAAGGCTATTAACAGTGGGTGATTTAAATGAGCGAGAGACAGAGGCACATGGCTTTTTAAGCTGACAGGGTTAACATTTCCCCTCTTGACTACACAAGACCTCATTCTTACCTCCGAAATTCTTCTCTGCCCAGTTTTTCCCTTTGTCCCACTTTAGCAAATGGACTTCCAGACAATCAGATAATTCCCCGTGATAGCAGCGTGCACGGAAAACATGTCATGATGATATCATCTATCTAAGACCCAAGAGTGAGGCTGCCAGGGGGTGGCCGGAGATGGAGGTCATTAGGATGCATAGAAAGAAATATGCTTTCTTATCCTTTTCAAAATGCATTCATTCAGCACAGCGGCAAGTGTAATGGTTAAGAGGAGGGCTTTGATGGCCGCCGAACTTGGCTTTGAGCCCAGTTACTTCACTCGTGGAGCTGTGTGAACCTCAGCAACCTACTTAACTCTTTGTGCCTCAGTTTCCTCAACAGTAGCATGGAGATAACAACAGTTTATCCTACGGTTGTCCTCAAGAATTAGTGAAAACTTACAAGGGTAATGGTTGTATGCCTGGCATGTAAACAGTCATCATTTTATATGTGGTTATATACCTTTACATATAGTTCTATAGTCCTTATATATTATTACTGGAATCTACAACCCCCAGGGCCACGGACCAGTACAGGAACCGGGCTCCACAGCAGGCGGTGAGTCGCAGGAGAGTGAGTGAAGCTTCATCTGTATTTATAGCAGCTCCCCATCGCGCATTATTGCCTGAGTTCCACCTCCCTTCAGATCAGTGGTGGCATTAGATACTCATAGGAGTATGAACCCTATTGTGAACTGTGCATGCGAGCTATCTGGGTTGTGTGCTCCATCAGGTGTCTAATGCCTGATGATGTGTCACTGTCTCCCATCACCCCCAGATGGGACAGTCTAGTTGCAAGAAAATAAGTTCAGGGCTCCCACTGATAGGACATTATGGTAAGTTGTAGAATTATTTCATTAGATACTACAATATAATAATAGAAATAAAGTGCACAAGAAATGTAATGTGCTTGAATCATCCCCAAACCATCCCCCTCCCCCTTTCACCAGTCTGGAAAAATTGTCTTCCTTCAAACAGGTCCCTGGTGCCAAAAAGGTTGGGGACCATTGTATTATTATTTTTATTCATTAATTCACTAAGTATTTAGAGAGTGTCTACTATGAGCCTGGCACTAAACACTTCAGCAGAGAATTCAAGATTTTGTTTTTGAGATGGAGTCTTACTCTGTTGCCCAGGCTGGAGTGCAGTGGCACGATCTCAGCTCACTGCAGCCTCTGCCTCCCGGGTTCAAGGGATTCTCCTGCTTCAGCCTCCTGAGTAGCTGGGACTACACGTGTGAGCTACCACACCTGGCTAATTTCTGTATTTGTAGTAGAGACGGGGTTTTGCCATGTTGGCCAGGCTGGTCTTGAACTCCTGACCTCAGGTGATCCACCTGCTTTGGCCTCCCAAAGTGCTGGGATTACAGGTGTGAGCCAAAGCACCGGGCCAGGATTTTGGTTATTCTTTAAGGGATGGACATCAGTCTGTCTTGGAAGAAACTCTCATAGCACTCATCTGACATTTTGGTCACACCACAGCCCAAAGCATTTTTATGTCATTTCCTTGATCTTGGTAGTTTTCCTGGGAAGGAAAAAGAGGTGGTACAGAAATTGACAATTCTTTGGGGGGCGCGGGGAGGAAACAGAGAAACAGAAATGCGAAGTGGCTTGTTTGGAGCCACCCGTTACCCCTAGTAGAGCTGGAATAGGTCTCACATGGTCTTGACAGAGCCAGTTATAGCACTTCCCAGAGTGTTAATTACATCGGGTCCTTGTTCCTCCACAACTGAAGAAGTCACATACCCCAAAATGAGTTTGTGGCCCAGGAGGGAGGGTTTTTCATGGCAAGGAGGGCCTGGAAAGACTGACTAACCAGGGGTCTTCACTCCAGGGTTCCTCAGTGGTTCTTTTTTTTTTTTTTTTTTTTGAGACGGAGTCTCGCTCTGTCGCCAAGGCTGGAGTGCAGTGGCACGATCTGGGCTCACTGCAAGCTCTGCCTCCTGGGTTCACGCCATTCTCCTGCCTCAGCCTCCCCAGTAGCTGGGACTACAGGCACCCGCCACCACGCCCGGCTAATTTTTTGTATTTTTAGTAGAGACGGGGTTTCACCGTGTTAGCCAGGACGGTCTCGAGCTCCTGACCTCATGATCTGCCTGCCTCAGCCTCTCAAAGTGCTGGGATTACAGGCATGAGCCACCGCACCCGGCCGGTTCCTCAGTGGTTCTTAAGCAAATGTGCCCACATCTCACATGGGAACACATGGTGAGGATGGTGAGGCATTTCCCAAACTTACTTGACGCAGACCCCTCTCCAGCACATTTTTGGAAATACTGGCTCCAGAAATGCTTTCCTCAAGGGGGTTGCTCTTTGAGACAACCACCCAAAATTACAAATACCAGTTTAAACTGCCCTAACTGCTGCCTTTCTCCCTCCCTTAATATGGTCAGTGAGCTGCAAAGAAACTTCTCCCAAAGCCTACTGGGCCGAGCCCAGCAAGGTTCAGGGGCCCTGACACTTGGATTCTGGAGTCCTGATTGGGCCTCGAGTGCTGGCCTCTCCCATGACAAGCCCTGAGAAGCCAAGAATTCCAGCCAAGATTCCTGACCTTGTTTAATGAAACTGTTTAGAGCTTTCCACAGATCAGAAAGCTGGCAGTGGGGAGACTACAGCAGTTACAAAAGATCACGGGGTCACATTTGCAGCCACTGTACTTTTTCTAACAGTTGGCCAGATGAGGCAGCTTCTAATTTCTTATCCACTCAGGCAATGTCATTACTCAAGGTCCATCTCATCTCTTTGTGGGCACCAGTATGTTCACAGGTACACTGACTGACAGTGCAACCTTGCATTCAACAAGAAGATGTGAATATTGTACCATCATGCACTACGCCCAGCTTTCCTCCATCCAATCCCAATCCCACTCCTCTTCTGCAAGTTGTACCCTTAACACACACATCTCTGGTTGCACAGAACTGTTGGGTTCGATATTTTCTATCTTCCCTTCATTTCCTCACTCTCTTCTTCCTGCTTCCTGTTCTGATGACATGACAGCAATCAGGAATCTGGTGGCTACTATGGTGACCTGCCCAATGAAGACCTCTTAAGGGGATGGAGGAAGAAAGCAGGCTTAGCTCTTCTAGAACCTTCCTTTCCATGAAAAACAGGGCACACCTTTTCTTCTCTAATCATCTCCCTATTTAACACATCACAGGAAAGATTGCTGAATTACAACGTGCTATCTCTTTATTTAGTTATTTAGAGGTAGGATCTTGCTCTGTTGCCCAGGCCTGAGTGCAGTGGCGTGATCATAGCTCACTGAAGCCTCTACCTCCTGGGCTCAAGCCATCCTGCCTCAGGCTTCCCAGTAGCTGGGACTACAGACGTGCACCACCATGCAGAGCTAATTTTTTTTTTTTTTTTTTTTTTTAGAAATGGGGATCTCCCTGTGTTGCCCAGGCTGTTCACAAACTCATGGGCCTAAATGATCCTCCTGCCTTGCCCTCCCAATGTGTTGGGATTACAGGCATGAACTACCACGCCCAGCCACAATGTGCCATTTATGATCTCCTTTTGTAAACTTGTCTCTTGCTGCTCTGCTTCTCAGTTTGTTGCATTGCTTCCTCTCTGTTCTGTTTTCTTCCCCCTCCCTCCCTTTTTTTTTTGAGATTGAGTCTCGCTCTGTTGCCCAGGCTGGAGTGTAGTGGCACGATCTTGCCCCACTGCAACCTCTGCCTCATGGGTTCAAGCAATTCTGGTGCCTCAGCCTCCCAAGTAGCTGGGATTACAGGCATGTGCCACCACGCCCAGCTAATTGTTGTATTTTTAGTAGAGACGGGGTTTCACCATGTTGGCCAGGCTAGCCTCAAACTTCTAACCTCAAGTGATACGCCTGCCTCAGCCTCCCAAAGTGCTGAGATTACAGGCGTGAGCCACCGCGCCTGCCTATGTTCTGTTTGCTACATACCTTACAATATGGACCTTAGACTGTAAGTTCCTGGGAGATGGGGACATTGCCCGTTTTCTTTATTATACAGTCTAAAATACTGACCTTAACCAGGACATTGAATAAAAACCATCCAATGATGATTAAGATAAATGCAATGATTAATATGACTTTAGGGCTTGGCTGGAAGAATAATTTCCTTTTTTTTTTTTTTTTTTTTTTAGAGATAGGGTCTTGCTCTGTCACTCAGGCTGGAGTACAGTGGTGGATCTTGGCTTACTACAGCCTTGAACTCTTGGGCTCAAGTGATCCTCCCACCTCAGTCTTCTTAGTAGCTGGTACTACAGGTGCATGCCACCACACCTAGCTAATTAAAATTTTTGTTTGTTTGTTTTTTAGAGATGGGGTCTTGCTGTCCTGCCCAGGCTGCTCTTGAACTCTTGGCCTTCAGCAATCCTCCCACCTTGGCCTCTCAAAGTTCTAGAATTACAGGTGTGAGCCACCACATCCAGCCAGGACCACCATTTCTAAAGGCATTTTGGGAAAATCACCATTTATTTAATTATCCACCTGAACAGGAGACTAAAGAAATTATAGTTTTTGAGAAAATGCTTTCTGAGTGATCCTCCTCTGTGGTCATCTCTGCCAACAGGATTCCTGCCATAAAACGTGCACCAGAGTAATGCAGAGGGCATCTGTAGATGTAGTTGTAAAGTCCTAAGGTTTTCACTGAGACCCCAGTTAAGTTGGCTTTGGGTACCATTGGCGTCCTCCTGTTTTCTTTCTCCTTTCAGCTTGTACAACACTGAGAGCTTAAGACACATGGACTTTTCCAGATTGCCACATGGTCATGTGAAAGACACACCGGCTCCAGGCTCAGCAAGCCAGGCCCACATCATAGCTCACGGCATACAGGCTCCTGGTTCAGGAAAGGAAGGGGGCCTTGAGCCACCAGCCATGTCCCGCAGTGCTTGAGATTGGGAGGAGTGGACTCCTAACACCAGAGTGATGACTCAGGTCTGAGCCGGCGTGTGCTGCCCCAGCTGGAGGCCCGACTTTCCCTGGAGAAACACTGAGCCTGCTGTCTTCAGAGCCAGAGCAGAGCAGACCATTCCTGTGAAGCATGGACTTCCCAGGTGCAGAAAGCAGAGGCCCATCCCAGGCAGCACAGTGTGTCCCTATAAAAATGACGGAGTGAGGCCCATGGCTGTCTCAGGATGCTCTGTGGTGGGTGGCTTTGCACACATTGCTGCCTTAATACCTCACAATTGCTTAAAGAGGTCATTTGCTCGAGGTCACTGTTAGGGACTGAACTATGTGCCTTCCTAAAATTCATTCCCAAAGTCCTTACTCCCAGCATACCTCAGAATGTGCTGTATTTGGAGATAGGATCTTTAGGAGGTAATTCAGGTTACATGAGGTCATATGGGTGGGACTGAGTCCTTATAGGACTGGGTCCTTCTGGGAAGGGGAAGAGAACCAGGGATACTCCAGTATACAGGAAAGGTCAAGTGAGGACACAGGGAGAAGGCGGATGTCCACAAGCCAAGGAGAGAGGCCTCAGGAGACACCAAACCTGCCGAGACTCTGATCCTGGACTTCTAGCCTCAAGAACTGTGAGAAATAAATGTTGGTGTTTAAGCCACCCAGTCTATGGGATTTTGTTCTGGCAGTAGGAGCTGCCTAATATGGTGACAGTTAAAAAGTGGTCTAAGGACCATGTGGGTTGGCTCATGTCTGTAATCCCAGCACTTTGGGAGGCCAAGGTGGGTGGATCACTTGAGGTCAGGAGTTCAAAACCAGTCTGGCCAACATGGTGAAACCCCGTCTCTACTAAAAATATGAAAATTAGCTGGTGTGGTGGCACATGCCTGTAATCCCAGCTATTAGGGACGCTGAGGCATGAGAATCGCTTGAACCCAGGGGGTGGAGGTTGCAGTGAGCTGAGATTGCACCACTGCACTCCAGTGTGGGCAAAAAGAGTGAGACTCTGTCTCAAAAAAAAAAAAAAAAAAAAAAAAAAAAAGTGGTCTAGGCCCAGGTGCAATGGCTCATGCCTATAATCCCAGCACTTTGGGAGGCCAAGGTGGGAGGATCACTTGAGCCAGGAGTTCGACACCAGCCTGAGCAACACAGTGAGACCTCATCTCTACAGAAAATAAAAGAATTAGACAGGCATGGTGGTGCATGTCTGCCGTCCAAGCTACTAGGGAGGCTGAGGTGGGAGGATGGCTTGAGCCCAGGAGGTTGAACCTGCAGTGAGCCGTGATCATGCCATTGCACTCCAGCCTGGGTGACAGAGTGAGACCCCCATCTAAATAAGTAAGTAGATGAAATTAAAAAGTGGTCTAATGTTACAGTTCATGCTTGGGAGTAGTAGAGACTTCATACATTAACTTTTGTCTTGTTTCAACAATCTCAGGCCAAGGTTTAAGATTCTGGATGCCTGCACCATTAGCTACTATTTTAAAATAAAGAATTTGACTGGCTTTTGTCCCTGATTTTGGGGAGACAGACAGGAAACCCTTGGAATTTCCTGAGTAATAGGATTATCTTTGTTATTCACGAACCCTTTGGATCACCCCTGAGTTTACGCTAACGAGAATGACTTGGAATGGGGACTGATCAGCAGAAAGACCAAACATGTGATTTGAGCCATGTGTGACCAGCTTGACCTCCTAACCTCTAGGGAGGAGAAGGAGACTGAAGATTGGGTCCAATCACATGGCCAAGGATTCAGTCAATCATGCCTACATAATGAAACCCCAATAAAAACTCAGGATGCTGAGACTCAGTGGAGCCTTCCCGTTGGTGAAAAGAATCAATGTGCCAGGAGAGTGTTGCACTGTAACTCCAGGAGGAGACAGCACAGATATTCTGCATGTGGGACCCTCCCAGGCCTTATCCAATATGTCTCCTCATTTGGTGGGCCCTGGCTAGCCTCCTATATAATATAACCTTCATCATGAGTATGGCACTTTCCGGAGTTCTGGCAAGTCATTCTAACAAATTATTGAGCTGGAGGAGGTCACAGGAACCCTCATATTTGCAGCCAGTTGATCAAAGTAAAGGTAGTATGGGGACCCCCAACCTTGCAGCTGGCATCCAAACTGAGAGCTATCTTGTTGGGGACTCTGCTCTTAAACCTGTGAAATCTGCATTAATTCCAGGTGGTTAGTGCCAGAATTGCACCGCGATATTACAACTATCCTTCCTCTTGCCCACCCACTCAGCACGTAACACTGCAATACCTTGTTCCTCTCACAACAGGGCTTTGTCAGTCACAGAGAGGCTATTAAGCAGCTGGAATTATTTCTGAATGATTCCAAACACTTGAAGGCAGAGGGGTTTGGGGTCAACAAACCCCCAAGGTTGGTTGAACTTTAGGAATCCAAACAATTATCCCAAGAATAATTTGGTGATTCTGTGACCCATTTCTATGCTCTCCTTCCTGTCTTCTGAGTGTCGTCTAGTCCATACACGTGGGTTTGCTTAAAATAGTTCAGCTGTCCCTTTTGTCTCAAATAAATGAGGAAACAGATCATGAACTTTTGTCTCTGCTAGCCATTCATTCGTGCATGAGCCCAGTCAATAACACTGAGCCAGCCTTCTGATGGTCCCAGCCCCCACTGATTGGACACCCATCTTCCAGAGATCAGGTGGTTGGTTTCCTTATCTCTAAATCTCACCAAAATCCTGCAAGGTACTTATAATTCCCATTTTAGTAACGAGAAAGTTGAGGTTCATAAAGGTAAAAACATTTCCCAAGGCCACAGACCATCTACATGAGATGAGACAGAATTCAAACCGGATCTGACTTTGCACAAAGTGCGAGCTTTTCCCGCATTGGTGGCTCTTAAGTGCTGGTATATTTTCTGTTGGTCAGCGGCAAAATGAGAAAAATAGGATAAATGTTATGTAAACTTTCAATAAAGCTAAATGTGTCTTATTTAAAAGACTGTCCTTATTCAAGGCTGCAGTGAGCTATGATCACGCCACTGCACTCTAGCCTGGGTGACAAAGCAAAACCCTGCCTCTAAAAAAAATAAATAAAAATAAAAGACAGTGCTTTATTCTGATTTCATATCCTTTTTTGGTGTGGTGTTTCTTATTATGTAAATGAAGGCTAAAGTAGATGATAATATTTTTCATATACTGACTTGGCAAATACAAAAAAATGACTGCAGCCCCACCTGCCTTTCATCTGTAAATTTTCTGGTCTCTGAAATCAAAAAGTCTGGGAACTGCTGCATCACGCTGCCTCTACCTGTGAGCCTCTGAGGGAAGCTCCAGAAAGGTGTACAATCTGCACTCTTCCCTGTGTTCAACTGCTACAGCCTTAATCCAACATGCAGTACCAAGTATGCAGGCTCCAGACAGCCTATGCTGCATCGGATTCTGGCTTCATCGCTGGGACCCACTCCCAGCCTCTGACTCAGTATATTGGGGGTGCCGACCGGGAACTTGCATTTCCACATCTCAAGTGACACTGAGGCTGTTTGTCTAGGACCACACTTTGAGAACCGCTGATTTCAATCAGTCACCTTGATTCTGCTCCCTGTGTGAGTGTGAGTGACTGCTTCAGACATGGGAATAATATGGACCAGCTGTGGTCTGGGGTGGAGTCCGGAATCGAGGAGTGGGGAGGGACATCTGGGGAATAATTTCCTCTATGATAAAAAGAGTCACGATGGGAAGAAAGTCTCTTTTCTGCTTTTGTTTTGGAGATATAGTCTCGCTCTGTCACCCAGGCTGGAGTTCAGTGGCACGATCTTGGCTCACTGCAACCTCCGCCTGCCCGGTTCAAGCAGCTCTCCTGCCTCAGCCTCCTGAGTGGCTGGAATTAGAGGCGGCCACCACCATGCCTGGCTAAGTTTTGTATTTTTAGTAGAGATGGGATTTCACCATGTTGGCCAGGCTGGTCTCGAACTCCTGACCTCAGGTGATCTACCTGTCTCAGCCTCCCAAAGTGCTGGGAATTACAGGCGTGAGCCACTGCACCCAGCCCCTTTCCTGCTTTTGAACATTATTGTGCAAGGAGGTGGTGCCTGGGCTGCTGGGGCATCCCAGCAGCAGTGTAACCACTCCCTGCAGAGAGGACACAAGTCAAGGAGCCTCTAGAACTTACCTCGAATTAACTGCATTTAATTCCACCAATTAAAGAGAAACTGTGTGGAAAGATTATAATTTTTTTCTTGCTCATGAATGTAATTTGGTGAGAATACTGTAGTTGTACTAAGGGCTAAGAGTTTAGAAATCTTTCTAAGATTTATGCATTGTATGTAGGAGAGTGTGTGTGTGTTATATGAATGCGTATGTGAGTGTGTATTCAAGTGTGTGCATGTTTGTGTATGTGTGTACATGAGTATATGTATGTGAGTGTGTGTGTGTGAATATGTGTGTGCGGTTGACAGACCCACCAAACTTAACATTGAAGGCTTTAGACATCACATAGTCATTGGTTTATATGTTAAACCAATGTTTAATGTTAATCTCCCAAAGGTGAGTGAAAATCGGTGATTTACCCACACTTCTCTAACTCTGTTACTCATCTGTGGTTAAATGAAATGGAGTACTGAGGTCATTATCCTTTTGGAGGATTATTACAGTTCTAAAACACCTTTGTATCAATATGGTCTACTGATATTTTTTGTTATTTATAAAAGATTGACACTATTTTAAGAAGAAGGGCCAAAGTAAAGGAATGCCGATAAAGAATTTTGATAATACCAACATCCGGCCCACTTTATTGTAGTAACATATCTTAAGATCTATCGACAATTTAAAATTTAAGAATCACTGTACTTACTGATCTATTGCTACCCTAAAAGGACTGCATGTGATATTTTAAAATCCTCTTCCCTAAAAGAAAGAAATTCTTGATCAGTTTGAAGTGGCACTTTGGCATTTCCTGGAGAATGTGTTTCTCCAGGGAATGGTCAAAGATCACTGGGATTCTAGCAGGCCCTGCTAGTCGCATGCTCTTCTGAGTCTCGCACAGTTGACGAGAATATGCTGGAATGCCTCTAAACATGTGTCCCACCGTGCGCTACAAAATCACACACTGCAGTCTCTAGGAAGGATACAGCCCCTATTGGGAAGCAACAGTTAGTACATGAACTTGTGGCAATTTCGTGTATGAGTAATGGGCTGGAAAGACCAGTCACTGTCTGGTTGATAAGGGATACAGTGTGCCTTCAGTACAGACCTTCCCACAGATCAAAACCAATATGATCCATTCGGATATAGTTGTGCTTCAGTATCATTTTAATATAAAGCCTTAAGGATGGGGTCATTTACATGATACTGGGACGCAACCATTGAAATCATGTTTTCTATTTTATCCCCAAGAATGATGACTGATTTGACATCACTGGAGCACAAAACCTAGTCCACTTATTTAGATGGTAATCTGAACTCAGTATGAACACATGTGCATATATATTCTGCCTGTCATCCTATGACCTTGACACATGAGTTATATATGGCGTTGGAGGGATGAGCAGTAATCACCAGTGTTCATGAAAAGATCAGGGGATGATGTGTTGGAGATCTGGAAGGTTGGGCAGTTAAGACATTTTTTGATGGACTGTCAACCCATCACTTTTCAAGTGAACTGATACTGAACTCTACGACTACTCCATGAAGCCTTGCATGAAATCGTATAGAAGACCAGATTATTAGGGATAATAGCACCATAAATTATGTAGCACTTAATAGTCTCTTAAATGCTTTCCTCAAAAGCCAAGGTAGTTAACATTCCCATTTTACACACGAGGTAGCAAAGGCCAGTGACTTGCCTGGGTTACCATAGCTACTAAGCAGTCTGGCCGAGGCCTCTGATCCCAGCCTAAGAGATGCCCATGTTGTGCCAGACAGTCTTGGGGGCGCTTCAGATGTTCTAGTGAATTTAACCCTAATCACAAGTCTATGAGGCAGGTACTAGTTTCAATTTACAGAGAAAATTAGAGCAGCAAGACAGGAGGCAGCCAGTGTTCTCCGTTTACAGATGAAGAAACTGAAGGTTAAGGAGGTTGTGCAAATGGCCAAGGTCACGAAGCTGTCAAGCATCAGAGTCAGGTTTTGAAGCCAACCCAACCGGCCCCAGAGCCTGTGCTCTCAGCGTGCTGGAACCTGCTGGTCCTCTGCATTCAGGTGGCCTGGTTTTGAATCAGTTCTCCCATTTGCTGTACAACTCTGAATAAGTTACTTTACTTCTCTGTGCCCCAATTTCCTCATCTGAAAAAATGGGAATAATAACAGTTACCTACCTCATAGAGTTGTGGGGCTGAAAAGATGACTCAGCACATATTAAACGCTTAGAACAGAGTCTGGTACAAAAATAAGCGTTCAATTAGCTAATATGATGATTAATCACTAAGCTATATAATTTCCCAAAGCATTTGAAATATGGTGTATAAAATTCAGGTTCAATCTATTAGGTTGGTGCCAAAGTAATTGTGGTTTTTGCCATTACTTTTAATGCAATTACTTTCGCACCAACTAATACATTGAACTTTTCAGGAATGTGTTTGCTTATTAGCATAAAGGATGCTTACATTTTCTATCATCTGGTTTCTACCTAAAGCAGAGATTTGCAAACCCACAGGAGTCTGCTGAGATCCCCGCAGAGCCTCCCTGTCAGTGGGCTTGGGGGTGAAGGTGATGGGGTTCAGACCTTCTCCATGTGCTGATATTGGACAAAGAATTTTGCAGCAAAAAGAAGTTTGAGAATCGTTGGTCTACAAGACTCTATAGTAGGGTCACATGGTGGCTTCTGTCCATTACTATGGATGCAACTCCCTGCAATTGTAAAGTTCAAGGCCCCAGCTCCGCTGGGCAGAGTGTGGTGACTGTAATGGCATAGGGCCTGCCCAGAGAGTAGGTGGTTTGGGCACAACTGTACTCCTCACCTCTCTGATACACTGTCTCTCGTAAACAGCTCACAGTCATATCATGGAGGAACTCGAGAGTCAAAGAGAGCAATCCAATAGTATGGGCTGTTGATGGCTCCTGAGCAGGGGTAAGTCATGAAGGAGCCTGGAAGGATGGATACTCTGGTTGTGTCATATAGGACAAACGGGGATGGCCAGGAACATGGAACTAGGCAGGGTGGCAAGGAGCTGCTCTGGTGACAATGGGCACACAGAGGATGCTGAGTCCAGGGTGGCAAATGTCTACACTGGGGCATGTATTGGAGAGGAGAAGGAAAGTTGTTCCCTTACCAGTGAAAAAACAGGCAAGACTTAAGGATGTCATTGATGGGCACAGAAAAAAATTTCCTGGCTTCTAAAGCCTGGCCAATTTGGAGAACTGTGGGCTTGCTTTCAAAGCAGGTGCAAGAACAAGATGACCCGGGTTGGAGGAGGAGTAGGAATGATGGGCTTCGGTTGCCATGAGGTGCTGGGGCTGCCACCGAGGTGTTCAGTCACAAAGACCTAGTGGGCGGCCCCAGGGGTGGGACAGGGGCTCTGGCAAAATATGGAAATCTTCCACATGGCTTTGACAGCTGAACTCTCAGCTCTGTGCTGGGCAAGCCAGGAAGCCACAAACAGAGATTCAAGGGCGATAGGGAAGGCCCGCTGGGGTAGAAGACTCAGAGAAAAATACAGAGCAGCTGAGATTTCCCCAGACCGTTCGCTTCCTCCCTCCACCACCAGGGATACCTGGCCAGGCTGCACTCCTCTCTCAGGGGAGGGGCTCGCTCGCTCCCTCCCTCCTTCCCTCCCTCCCTTCCTCCCTTCCTCCCTTCCTTCCTTCCACTGGATGGGACAAGTTGCAGCAGAGGCTGCCAGATGAGTAAATCTGCCTCCTCATGTCCTCCTGGATCCCCTTACAAGAAAGGACAGGGTCCAGCGGGTGGGATGTGTGGACAAGGGAAGCCATTCCAGGCACAGCAGAGCTGAGGAAGAACACTCAGCCCATTTTAGGAAACGGAAGAACCAGCCACTCCTGGACTCGTAAAAAGTTCTGCAACCAAAATAATCATTGACCACCTCTAGACAGGAACTCCTAACCCAAATAAACGGATGCTTAGATCTGCATAGCACAGCGGTAGACAAATAATAAATATTTACCAAACAAGCAAGAACTTGAATTAAGCAATGTGCCCAAAATCAAACTGTGAGTTATGGATTAATAAAAACGATGACAGCCACAGATTTGTTACCCCTTGGGTCCCTGTGACCCCATCCTTATGCTCTACATAGAGGTGTGTGCACACGTGTGTGCCTTTCCCCTGTAAATACAGTCGTTTGCATTTTGCAGAACTGCATTGTGAGTTGAGTTTGTTTTAATCTCCCCAATCCCTTCTTATCCCCCATTAGCAGAAAGACAGAAACTAGGAGCATGTAGTTTAATGTCCTATCCTGAGGCTCCCATCTGCACAGAGTCTCCTATGGGGCACCATAGAGAGGACATGGAAAGGATTTTGTGAAGATATCACGGAAAAAATAACTCAGTAGTAAAAGAAACAACCACCTGCAATGTTCTGGAGGGCTAAGTCTTCTCTCCCTTTTTTTCTCTCTCCCTTTACGTTTGAGCCACATGAAATTGTCCCCTTAGCAGGACAAAGTCTGCCAAATATTGGCAATTTCAAATGGTTTCAATGAATACATTTTACAACAGGTTAAAATTGGCATCAAAGGGACAAGGAGCACAGACATGGAGGTGGTCCAGGAAGAAGGGGGAGGGGGGCAGGGGCGCAAAGAAGGGGTGTTGCCAGGCAACTGGCAGCGTGGACCCATTAGGCTGGGGAGATGGGGATGGTCTCTTCTCCTCTCCTCAACCAGCACCTGGGTGTGAGTGTGTGTGTGTACGTGTGTGTGTGTGTGTGTGTGTGTGTGTGTAAACGCGGCAGGGGGTTCCCTAGATGATCGCATCAATCTGCTGTATCCTGATGCTCAGCCCTCTCTCACAGCCTCTTGGGGAGACTGGAATTCCCCTTTGTTCTAACCAGGGCAGAAAGAAAGCTTACCGACTTTTCTACAAAGGCCTTGGCTGAAGAAGGAAGATGGATCGTGTCTCCTCCCTCCTTACCAAGGGGGAAACGACTTAGCTGCTTGTGCTCCCCAAGAGTATGTTTTATGGACTATTTCTTATTCCTCTCCATCACTCAATGCGTTTTTTATTACAAATAGATTTACCATTGCGTTATCTGTCTGTGCTCTATATCTTACCATGTCTTTCTTCACCATGTGCTTTTCAAATGTTAAATATTATCAGCCACCCCTGGGGGCTGGGAAGACATCTGTTTTGCTCATTTGGTGGAGTGCCCAGCTTTGCAGAGAGGAGCCTAATAAATGATGATGGGATCGCAGTGAGGTGTGAGGTCAGCCCAAAGTGGGGCTGCCTGAACCCCTTTGGCTCTTGTTTCAGGAGGTGGCCTGGTGGCCTGGGAGGTCCCGGACAGAAGGTTCATAACACTGAGTCCCTCTGTCTGCTCCCAGCTTCTGCACACGCCTTCCCAGCCCTTGGCTGTGACAGAAACTCCTGGTGGATTCAGACCAGACAGGAGCAGATGGCAGACCTGGAGCACGCCTCGGTAGATGGCCCAGCAGGCAGACCACAATGAGCCCACCTGCCCACACTACTCAGTTGGGAAGACACGGAATCAACTCCATATTCTCTGCTTGGCAACATGCACTTTGGGGGGGATTCCTGCTTTACTTGGTAGAAAACAATCTCCTGCATTTTTTTTTTTTTTTTGATACGGAGTTCGCTCTTGTTGCCCAGGCTAGAGTGCAATGGTGCGATCTTGGCTCACTGCAACCTCCATCTCCCACGTTCAAGGGATTCTCCTGCCTCAGCCTCCCGAGTAGCTGGGATACAGGCATGCACCACCATGCCCGGCTAATTTTGTATTTTTAGTAGAGACGGGCTTTCACCATGTTGGTCAGGCTGGTCTCAAAGTCCCGACCTCAGGTGACCCACCCGCCTCGGCCTCCCAAAGTGTTGGGATTACAGGTGTGAGCCACAGCACCTGGCCATCTCTTGCATTTTTGCAGAATATCATTAACCACAGAAGTTGCTAAGGCTGGGCTATGAGGGTGAATATAAACATGGGTGTGCACCTGTGCATAGAGAATCCAAGTTTAGGCCGGGCGCAGTGGCTCATACCTGTAATCCCAGCATTTGGGAGGCCGAGGTGGGTGGATCACCTGAGATCAGGAGTTCGAGACCAGCCTGGCCAACATGGTGAAATCCCGCCTCTACTAAAAATAAAAAAATAAGCTGTGGGTGGTGGCAGGTGCCTGTAATCCCAGCTACTTGGGAGGCTGAGGCAGGAGAAGCACTTGAACCCAGGAGGCTGAGGCAGGAGAATTGCTTGAACCCAGGAGGTGGAGGTTGCAATAAGCCAGTAAGCCGAGATTACACCACTGCACCCCAGCCTGGGTGACAGAGTGAGGCTCCATCTCAAAAAAAAAGAGAACCAAGTTTATTCACCTATTTTAGGTAAGATTATTACAGTTCTAGATTTTTAAAAAGTCATACATTTTTTTTTCTAGCCCATAATAGCCCAGACTATTTACTTGCCCTCAGTGCTATTTTACTGACAGCCCATATTAATGTACTCGACCTTTAAGATGGGATATCACCAGCATCGCTGTCAGACAGAGGAAAGTGACAGGAAGGCGACCATTATTTCATCCACTGCTGTGGAAGTGTCTTCCACACCTGCTAGCCCGAGACTTACGCAGGACGCACAAGTCCTTCATGAGGATGTGTCACATGTTTCAGGCTTTCCCAGATAGGTTAGGAAGTGAGTTCACAGGAATGAAATGACCTGGGTAAGCCCATCTTCCATTGCAGACCTGAGATAAGGTTCGAAGTCTTTGGTTGCCATCGTTTATGGCTCTGGTGTCAGGGGCTGGCAGAGGAGCATATTCCAGGTGAACTATTAATAGATCATATCTTGTGAATCTTGGGTTTTTATTATATATACTGGTTATGGTGCAGTGAAAAGAGAATGGGCTATACTATCAGAGGACCTATGCTCGAGCTACCTATACTTCACTAGCTACGTGACCTTGAGCAAGTTATTTAATCTTTCTGAATTTCTGTTTGCTTGGCACCTACTTTACACAGTTACTGTGAGGATTAAATAAGATATGCTCCATATAAATTCTATAAAGAATTGTAGGCCAGGTGTAGTGGCTCATGCCTGTAATCCCAGCACTTTGGGAGGCCAAGGCGGGTGGATCACCTGAGATCAGGAGTTTCAGAGAAGCCTGGCCAACACAGTGAAATCCCGTCTTTACAAACACACAAAAATTAGCCGGGCATGATGGCGGGTGCCTGTAATCCCAGCAACTCTGGAGGCTGAGGTGGGAAAATCACTTGAACCCGGGAGGCAGAGGTTGCCGTGAGCAGAGATCACGTCACTGCACTCCAGCCTGGGCGACAGAGTGAGACTTCGTCTCAAAACAAAACAAAAAAAGAAAAAGAAAAAGAAAAAGAATTGTAAAATGTAGTCATTATTGTGCCAAACATCCAGTATTATATCTGGGTAACCCCAAACAATTCGATTGCCTTCATAATATTTTCTCTAGCTTAAATTGTTTTCTATCTTCTATAGCAGGAATCCCCAACCCCTGGGCCATGGACTGGTACCAGTCTATGGCCTGTTAGGAATGGGGCTGCACAGCAGGAGATGAGCAGCGAGAGAAGCTTCACCTATACTTATAGCCTCTCCCCATTGCTTGCATTACTGCCTGAGCCCCACCTCCTGTCAGATCAGCAGCAGCATTAGATTCTCGCAGGAGTCCAAACCCTACGGTGAACTATACACGTGAGGGATCTAGTTTGCACACTCCTTATAAGAATCTAGGCCAGGCGTGGTGGCTCACACCTGTAATCCCAGCATTTTGGGAGGCCGAGGCGGGTGGATCATGAGGTCAGGAGATTGAGACTGTCCTGGCCAACATGGTGAAACCCTGTCTCTACTAAAAATACAAAAATTAGTTGGGTGTGGTGGCGCCTGCCTGTAATCCCAGCCACTCAGGAGGCTGAGGCAGGAGAATCGCTTGAACTCAGGAGGCGAAGGTTACAGTGAGCTGAGATTGCACCACTTCACTCCAGCCTGGTGACAAAGCAAGACTCTGTCTCAAAAATTAAAAAAAAAAAAAAGATTCTAATGCCTGATGCCCATCACTCACATGTGGGACCATCTAGTTGCAGGAAAACAAGCTCAGGGCTCCCACTGATTTGACATTATGGTGAGCTGTAGAATTATTTCATTATATGTTACAATGTAGTAATCATGGAAATAAAGTGCACAATAAATGTAATATGCTTGAATCATCCTGAAACCATACCTCCCACACCCCATCTGTGGAAAAATTGTCTTTCATGAAACCAGTCCCTGGTGCCAAAAGGTTTGGGCCTACTGCTCTAGAAATAGCCATCCAAAAGAAATACAACGTGAGCCACAAAAGTTAGCCCAATATAAGATTTTAATTTTTTTTTTTTTGAGATGGAGTCTTGCTCTGTTGCTGGGCTGGAGTGCAGTGGCGTGACCTCGACTCACTGCAACTTCCACCTCCCAGGTTCAAGTGATTCCCTTGCCTCAGCCTCCCGAGTAGCTGGGACTACAGGCGCACGCCACCATGCCTGGTAGAGACAGGGTTTCAGCATGTTGGCCAGGATGGTCTTGATCTCCTGACCTCATGATCTGCCCACCTCAGCCTCCCAAAGTGCTGGGATTACAGGCATGAGCCACCACACCTGGACCAAGATTTTAATTTTTTTAGCCATATTTAAAAAGTTTAAAGGTGAAATTTATTGTATATTTATTTTATCTTAATATATCCAAAATATTATCATTTTAACACGGACTCACCAAGGCAAAAATTATTTACAAGACATTTTACTTAAGTTTCATAGGAAGTCTTCACAAGCTGGTGTGTGATTTATACTTGCTCACAGCTGGCGTGTGATTTATGCTTGCACACAGCTGGCGTGTGATTTATACTTGCATACATCTCCATTTGCACTGGCCACATTTTGCTCAATGGCCACATGTGGCTGGTGGCTACTGTACCACGAGGTGCAGCTTAGATCTTTCCAAATGCTTCTGTCTTGGTTATGAGGAGATTATGTCTCCTCATAATCTCAGGATTATGAGCCCTGGGTAAGACATGGCAATAATCTAACTGTTATCTTTAATTCCCTTAGAAAACACAGACTAGTCACAGTTTGCTCCACTTCTTGGAATCATAGGGACGCTTTGTTCCTCTATTTGCACACAGTGGACAGTTGTAAATGTCTTGCCAATGGCCACTAAGGGACTGGGTCAGAGGGGAGAGATGTGGAAATCCTAGGGCAGCTTGGAACTTGGAAAGGAGACTCACATCATGCGGCAGCTCCCTGGAGAAAGCAAGGTGCGAGGTTCACTGTGGCAGAATTGAGGGGATGGAGAGCACTCCTATGTGTAAAGCTCTTATCATCAAAGGGAAGAAGGGCCGGGCGTGTTGGCAGTGGCTCACGCCTGCCATCTTAACACTTTGAGAAGGAAAGGACCAAGGCAGGAGAATCACTTGGGATCTGGAGTTGGAGACCAGCCTGGGCAGCAGAGGGAGACCCTGTCTCTCTAAAAATTTAAAAAATTAGCAATGCACATCTGTTAGCCCCAGCTACTGGAGAGGCTGAGATGGGAGGATCACTTGAGCCCAGAAGGTTGAGGTTGCAGTGAGCTGTAATCGCACCACTGCACCACAGCTGGTTGATAGAGCGAGACCCTGCCTGAAAAAAAAGTGGGGGCCAGGTGTGGTGGTTCACACCTGTAATCCCAGCACTTTGTGGGAGGCTGTTGTGGGTGGGTCACCTGAGGTCAGGAATTCCAGACCAGCCTCGTCAACACGGCGCAACCCTGTCTCTACTAAAAATACAAAAGTAGCTGGGCATGGTGATGCAGGCCTGTAGTCCCAGCTACTCGGGAGGCTGAGACAGGAGATCGTTTGAACCCAGGAAGTGGAGGTTGCAGTGAGCCAAGATTGCACCACTGCACTCTAGCCTGGGCGATAGAGCAAGACTCTCTCAAAAAAAAAAAAAAAAAAAAAAAACCCAAAAAGTGGGGATGGGGAAGAAATTCGGCCAACCATTCATCTAAAGTGATGGGGAGAAGCACTGAAACGAAGCCTGTCTAGCAGTAGAAGGTCAGGTCGGTTTTTCTGGCACTGGGCAGGCTCCCTGTGAGACAGGATATCTACAGTCTCACAAGCCTCAAGAGAACCAAATAAGGAAGGGCCACACCTCAGCCATTCCATTCTAGTGAAAATCCACTCTATTTTTATGAAGGTCAAGAGAAAGAGTCCAGAATCTTTCCTACTAACGGCTTCCTGTACCCCATCTAGCAACTCTCACTGTCCGGAAATTCTTACTTAAATCATTCTCACTATGGCTAAAGCACACTTCCCTTTCTCTGCTCTCAACATACTCCCCCAAATATACATTCGGGTCAGAGAATAAATGAAGAAAATAATTTTCAAGGAGCAAGGATATGACAACGAGACTTAGGGAGTTCGGCTGACCATAAAACATGCTCCGCCCCCCATATCTGGCTATAGCGTCCTCCAGAAGGTTCCAAGACTGCGATGAGGGTGGCTCCTCTCATTTTGATGAAGGCTTTTTTTCTTTTTTTCAGGTGGGGGACAAAGTCTTGCTCTGTCGCCCAGGCTGGAGTGCAGTGGTGTGATCTTGGCTCACTGCAACCTCCGCCTCCCAGGTTCAAGTGATTCTCCTGTCTCATCTTCCCAAGTAGCTGGGATTACAGGCGTGCACAACCACACCGAGCTATTTTTTTTTTTTTTTTTGTATTTTTAGTAGAGGCAGGGTTTCACCATGTTGGCCAGGCTGGTCTCGAACTCCTGACCTCAAGTGATCCACTCTCCTTGGCCTCCCAAAGTGCTGGGATTACAGGTGTAAGCCACTGCATCCGGCCTGATAAAGGCTTTTTTTAAAGTACATTTCCAACTGGTGGAAACAATTTTGGAAGACAGAGCAGAAGATGCTGTCTGTGGGCTGAACTGCAGGGCAATCTGTCTATGCAACCTGCATGTGTCCACAACCAAGGCTGCAGGCATGCTCTGGGGCTGAATGCTCACGTCACCTTCCAGCTGCTCTTAAGTGGAATTTCAGGACTTAAGGAGCTACCTGGTAAAGACGTGGGTGTCAGGAAATTGCCTGTGGATTTAGGGATGAGCGTCTCAAATATTAATTCCTAGTATGTCACTCTTGACTGTTTGCCCTCCCCTACTGTGAGTAACGTATGATCTACTCAGAGCAATAGAGGATTTGGAAGCACAGATTTCACTTGGTAATCTCAAAGTGCTATATGGAATAAGCATGAAACATTAGGATGACAGGCATTTTTTCTCTGCAACCCAAAGAAGGGAAATGTTATGCTCGGAGTGGCCGAGTTTACAGTGCTGCATGAAATTATCTGTGTGGTTGTCTGCTTACTGCATCCTCCTGGCAAGAGGCAAATGGGGAGTCGGTTTGGATGCCGTCAGCTTTCTCGCCCAACACTGATGCCATAGAAGCTCCTCTGTGTCTGAAGATCTGAGGTATAGCCTTTGATGAGTATGCTATCCTCATAGTGGGTAAAAACTAACCTCCCCAATCTGCCCCATCTTATTAATATCTTTCAGTCAGCCACCCTCATGCACACCCATTTACTTCTCTGGGGGAGAGAAACACTTGCTCTAAACCTGACTCTCCATGTTACAAACCTTGTCAGGTCAATGTAGGTGTCTTTCCCACCCATCCCCATTTCTACAGCTCCAGGTCAAAAGATCAGGAAAGGCATTGCTTTGTCTAAGGCTTATTACAAATGTTCTGAAATTATTCTTAACAATATCAGTCTCAGTGTTTAATATATTTTGATGACTAAAGTATAAATGAACCTGAAGGCTACCACTCTCTGAATGTAAAATATGAAATAGTTTAGGTCAAATGTTTTATTAAAAACCTAGAGGTGGGTCCAGATGAGCTAGAGAATCCAGATTCCCTTTAGAAAGGATACTGCCCAACAGATAGAATCCTGGGCAACAGAATTTTGCAGAGGAGAAAAAAAAGAGTGATAGATTTAAGCTGCCTTTCATTCAGTAGTTTTAATTTTGTTTCTCCAAGTTTTGCTAAAGCCCATTCTGCAATTAATTTAGAACCTTTCCATATATATAAATATAAATATATATATGTATTTAGCTTACCACACACAAATACTATCTATCTATCTATCTATCTATCTATCTATCTATCTATCTATCTATGTATACATAGATACACGCACTATCAATGCCTAGATAAATAGTGCGTGTATCTATCTATGTATAGGTAGTGTGTATATCTCTCAGTGTGTAGATAGATTGTGTGTGTATCTATGTATAGGTAGATAGTGTGTGTATCTATAGATGGATTTTGTGCAAGTGTGTGTGTGTGTGTGTGTGTGTGTGTGTGTGTGTGTGTGTGTTAAGCTAAATCCTCTGTGAAGCAACTGGTACTCTGGCAAGAAGTCTTTGGGGGAAGTCATGTCAAGACATCTTAGGTTTGTCCATTCTTTCATTCAACAAGTCTTTATTTAGTGACATTATGTGCCTGACCCTGGGCTAGGTACTGGGGATACACCATGATGGAGACACAGATCTAGCCCTCAAACTGTTGGGGGCTCCAGGAAGTGATAACAAGTACACAACCAATCACAGCGAGGTGTGGCCATGTCATAAGAAAGAAACGCAGTACAGACTAGGCGGAGGGGGTCAGGGAAAGCCTTGGTGGAGGGTGTCTTCCAATTTGTGATGTAAAGACCTAAGAGAGACCAGCCAGGTCCAGGGCGCGGGGGTGTGGGAAGGAGCGTGTTCTAGGAAGAGAGAATAACACAGGAAGCCTGTTCTATAAAGCAGTGGAAAGAACATGAACTTCTCTCGTTCGCCTAATTCAACATTTTCTTGATTTTATAGGGTTGAGGACAACTGTTCCCAAACTGCACACATCAGTAATTAAATCTATTTTTTTCTGAAAGCAGGCTGGCCAAGAGATAGTTTCTAAACTGCCATTTGAGGTCTCATTTCCTATTCCAGAAGGTGGCTTCTTTCTAAACCTCCAAGCTTTGATTCAGGAAAAGCATGTAAAATACACCAGACCACTCGCCTATAAACTCTTCGCACTGAGTCTTGGCAATTTGAAGCTTCAAATGTTTCTCAGTTAACGATTCTGCTAATTAACGAGATCTCACTCAATTTGATGGTTTCCCTTTATTGCCTCATTCTTCCAAATTCAAACCACAAATTTGACTTTTAATGACTTTAGGCCATAGAGTCTAGCCTAAAACAGCCGTAATCTAAAATGCAGGAGAACCCTATATATAGGGATATGTTAATCACAGCATTTACTTGTAATAGTGGTAAAATTTTTTTTTTTAAATCCCTTAAATATACTCAAATGGGGAAATGATTAGATAATAATGGTATATCAATTTCTAGAATTTATGCAGCTGTTCAGGAGAATGACAATTTACAGTATTACCATAACTTAGAAAATGTTAGCGAAAGACAATGGTAAGTGGAAAAGGAAAAATAAGATATGTAGAATTATACATGTACTATGATTACAGCCATGCAAGAAATATAAATATGAAAAATGCTGGAAAGAAATCCACCAAAAAGGGAACAACACTTGAATTAGTGTCATGTGCTTATGAGCCTTTTTCCTATTTTCTGTTTCCTATATTGCATTTATAAAGCCTTTATCATTTGAATCCTATTAAAAGTATTCACTCAAAGTCAGCAGTTTGAACATTTTCAATTCCAAGCAGCATGTACAAGGCAACGCAAGACGAAAGTGTCTGCATGCGAGTTTCCCCTTCGAAGTAGCATCACTTCCCCCATGAGCAGATGGCATCCTCTCAACTCACTGATGAACTGCAGCTTCCTCACAACAAAATGTGATAGAGAATGAGACACAATGCTCTAGGACTTGGAGATAGACATCTAAGAATAAACAGCAAGCAAATGTAATAAAAATTGGCATTGAACAACAGATCTGGAATGGTAAACTTTTAAAGTCAGAGTTGGAGACACCATTCTTTAGAGCTTTGGGTCAAACAATGGTCTGTTTAAGAACAAGTTGAAAAAGGTGAGGGTCTATGATTCCAATTACTTCTCCAATTTTGCTGACACTGATGTGTTCTTAGTTGGAATTGATTGATTTCCTGCATCTCAGTTTCTCCAGATGCTCACAAGTGATGCCAATGTCAACTCATGAGATGGGGTAAGAAGGGGGTCGCTTAGCACTTAGAAAGAGGACCGAGTACAGAGATTGTTCCTCTTTAATCTCAACTGGAAAAGAAAAGAACAAACCTTTAGGCCAGGCACAGTGGCTCATGTCTATAATCCCAGCACTTTGGGAGGCCGAGGCAGGCAGATCACCTGAGGTCAGGAGTTCCAGACCAGTCTGACCAGCATGGAGAAACCCCGTCTCAACTAAAAATATAAAAAATTAGCCAGGAATGGTGGCACATGCCTGTAATCCCAGCTACTTGGGAGGCTGAGGCAGGAGAATCGCTTGAACCTGGGAGGCAGAGGTTGCAGTGAGCTGAGATCGTGCCACTGCACTTCAGTCTGGGCAACAAGAGCGAGACTCTGTCTCAAAACAAAACAAAACAAAAAAACAAACAAAAAGAACCAAACCTTTTTCTATCCCCTCTGAGCAAGGAAGACTAAATCAATTTTAGTTACAGCAAGAGTTACTTAGGTTACATTGTAGTTAACTCCTTCCAGGCAGAAAGAATAGCTAAGGGCATTGTGGAATTTCCTTTTCTAGAAATTTGTAACAATAGGGTAGATGTACATCTGGCCTTGGATGCCTTAGGCTGGTGTACAGATACAACCAAAATAGCACACACACAAAACACCCTGGTGGGTCCTAGTCATTCTCTCACAGATATTAACAGAGATTTAAAAACAGTTTACCAAATCCCCCTTCATCCCCAGCTGGATCAAGGTCTGAAACCACATCAGTCACCAAAGAAACTCAGAAAGTTGACCAAAAGCGATTTACCTGTACTAGGAGTTCCAGCTTCCTGTCATCAAGAAGATGTACTTGACATCGGCGGCCCTCCGTCATCTAAGAGGGAAGAGAAATGGTAGTCACTGAGAGTCTAGCAGCCAGACAAAGGGTTAGAGGGTCGCCGACGCTGCACTCTGCCAGGCATATTCCTCTGGGCAAAACTTCCTCTGGGAGTCGGCACTGTATAATGCCAGGAGTTGGAAGGATCAGTTCATTCATTCATTCAAAAATATCTATTGAGGCCGGGCGCGGTGGCTCACGCCTGTAATCCCAGTACTTTAGGAGGCCAAGGTGGGCGGATCACCTGAGGTCAGGAGTTTGAGACCAACCTGGAGCCTGACTAACATGGAGAAACCCCGTCTCTACTAAAAATACAAAATTAGCCGGGCGTGGTGGTGCATACCTGTAATCCCAGCTACTTGGGAGGCTGAGGCAGGAGAATCGCTTGAACCCAGGAGGTGGAGGTTGCAGTGAGCCGAGATCGCGCCACTGCACTCCAGCCTGGGCAACAAGAGCAAAACTCCCTTTCAAAAAAAAGAAAATATCAATTGAGCACTTTCTATATGCCAGGCACTTTTCTGGGAGCTGGGTGTACCACAGCACACAAGACAAAGTTCCCATCCTCATGGAGCTTATATTCTAATAAGGGAGATGTAAAATAAATTAGCAAATATATATATAACATATTCTCAGGGGTGGTGGGTGTTGTTCATTCTTCACTTATTCTTCCATTCAATAATTGTACCCGCATGCATTAGGGACACAGCTCAGGATCCAATCTCTGTCTCCTCTTCATTTATCCCACTTGCTGGTAACCAGAAAGCAGATGACCACCCACCTGGCAATGAATTTGATTTCTGTGTTAGTTAATCGGCCCCCTCCTTGTGTATGACCTGATTCCCTACAGCGCTGTCACCAATAATAGAAAAGCACTGGCGATATGAACCCACAGGCAAATCCAACCCCGTCCCTTGTGCCTTTCAGGACTGAAATCTCTGAGTGGTATAACAGGAAGCCTGGGAGACCCAAGTCTAGTGTTGGTCCTGCTGCTTACAAGGGGCTGCAGGACTCTGGACAAGTTACCGTTCGTCTCCATGCCCCTGTCTCATATCCAAAAATAAATGGGCCGAGCCCAGTGGGGTGCTGGTGAATATTTAACAACTGGCTTTCTGGAAGGAAAAAGCCTGATTTGTAGCATTTGCTGGAGCCTGGCATCACCCTCAAAGGAAATCCTTTGAAGAACAAGCCTTCTCATGGATGTCAACTGGTGACTGTCCTAACCATAAACTGTCTTGCTGCACTCTAAATACCTTTACTGCGTCCGATTTCAAGCCACTGTCATGACAACACTGCTAGTAATTCCAACATACAGACACGATAGACAAACATAGCCTCAAGCTCATAGAAAACAGTTAAGTGCCATAAAAATAATTAGGAAGGGATAGATTTTTATTATCTTTGTTTGTTAACACCATGTGTTTAAGCATGTGTACATAATTTCATTTTAACAATGGCTATGCTTTATAATTGGCACCCCACATTCCTGAAAATGTAGCAATTGGCTCTCCCAGGCTAGTATGAAATAGCTCCAACGCTCCTCTCTGGACCAGATGACACATAAGTTTCCTTCCTTGTATTTCTTTAGAGGAAATCCTTTAGAGAACTCAATGCCTATTTTATATGACTGTATAGTCCCCATTAAATACAGTTCTTTTCCCCTGTATTTAGTGGCTAACCGGCCGCTTTAAGCAGATCTAAAGAAAGGATGCGCATCAGTAGATCCTGGCCCTGTCTCCTTGTCCAGCCATGAGGGTCCTTCTCATAAATCTTTCCTCAAGGAAAGATAAAAAAGACAGTCTCAGATGAGACACAATCTTGCCTTTACACACTTAGCACAGTGCCTGGCCCTAAGGGAGCTCTTGTTTTAATTTAATTTTTTTTTAGACAGAGTCTTGCTCTGTTGTCCAGGCTGGGGTGCAGTGGTATGATCTTAACTCACTGCAACCTCCACTTCCCAGGCTCTAGCGATACTCCCACCTCAGCCTCCTGAGTAGCTGGGACTACAGAGCAGTCTCGTTTCTCTCATGCGCCACGGGACGTACCAACTCTCCAGGCTAAGAATAACGCTGACATTTCTCAAGGCCTGTTAGGTTTGGAACTGCTATCCTGATGAGAATGAGCGTCTCTGCAAATGGAAGCAGGTGGCAGCACAGTCGCGGGCCGAAGGTGCCTACTGCACTCACGGCTCAGTCCCACCCAGTGGCCAGCCACCCTGCGTCCTTCGTGACCCTCTCCTCGACCCTGAGCTCCTGGAGACCAGGAGTTATGGACTGGATTGTGTTCCCCTAAAACTCATATGGTGAAGCCCTAACCCCCAATGTATTTGCAGGTACGGCAAGATTAAACAAATAACAAGAAAAGATAGTCTCTTCTCTTCTGGTTCAACAGGGATTATTCACTTATCACCAACATATCCAAAGCTGTCATGAAATCCTATGAGAAAATTATCTTATTCCTTCCTCAAAAGAAGTCATCCCATATTTCCATCAAGTCGGGTTTTCCTTGTTTTGGGATCTAAAACAACATAGCATGTCCTGCTTACATGGGGGCTAATCTCAATGTCTCTTGATTCTGAGTTATAACAATGACTTAGCAGCCCCCAGCTCTGAGAAAAATCAAGAAAAGTTTCACATACTCCTAAACACTCCAACGAACAGATTAAACACAGAGGAAAAACTTCAATCCAAAGCCTTGCCATTCCGCACATACAAGTCAAAGCAGGCAGCTGTGGACATTTGATGAGTCTATGCAAAGTCCTTATTCACCCGTTGAACCCCTAACTTCAGGTGTTAATTGTCTTAGTGGGAAAATGGGCTCAAGTCCTATTAGAATCCATCAACCTTGCACAGAGTAAGCATCTTCACTGATTGACTTAATTTTTAAAAATCCATCAGCTTCCTTTCAATCATTCCCTAAGTTCAATGAAAGCCATTACAATTTTAAATTAGACTAAAATAGCTGCTGCTTTACCAAAATGTATAAATGATTCCTTCATCAAAAAAGTACACTAGAAATGTTAATTTCAAGTTTCAGTAGGGCAGATAATAGCAATTGCACAGGTACTTTAGATAAAAATTTCGAGCTACGCTGATTCAGTTCTCATTGGAAAGAACCTAAGGTCAATAGAGTAAAAGTTTTAAGAAGGAAAATGGTATCACATTCAGAAAGTTATGTTAAATTCTTTCAAAAGTTTAATCATAGATTTGAGAAAAGTCTCGACAGAGAATAGGGGAGAGTTTTAAGAAAGAAATGCTGTTTGTTTTCTGCATCTATAAAACAGTTCTGAGCTTCGTTTTATCATAAAAGGTTAAGGGTATAAACATGCTCTTGAGTTACTCAATCACAGTCTAATAAATTTTATGAAAACAAATTGGTATCTGAAAGACATTATTGGATCAAATAAAGTTTTAATCGCAGTAATAAAGAAGATGAAATGTATCATTTTCTCGAAATATTTCCAAGCTCACAAAGTTCACACTCACACTTAAAGGTCTTCCCTGAGGTTCTCATTTTCATCTGAAAAAAATAATCCTCATTACATAAAACAATCTCACCTTATCTGCTCAGCAATTTAAGGAAGTAACTATTTATCATGATGTTAGTATCCACCCTAGGTCTTCCAATTTCTTTCCTCTTCTCAACAGTAATTCCTAGGAAATTTACAAACATGCTCCGTATTTTAATGCCTCCCTGTAGAAAGCAAAATGTCTCTGCAAACAGCACAGAGAAGTGTCTAAACAGACTCACCTTTGAATCATCATGTTTTTGAAGGTACAGCTTTCTTTTGACAGCACTGCTGTGGTTTATTTTTCAAAAGGGAGCACCTGCCTGTTGTTCCATATTCAAGTAAGATTAGAGTATCCTGTTCTTATCATCAGTTCAGAAAACTTCACCATTCTGGGTGTGTACATAGAAAGAATTGACATCTGTAGCTTTGTCTGGCTTGCCAGGCACTCTGAAGTTTTCTTTTCAATACTAACAATTGTGAAATAATACTGCTTTCCCTTGTTTTGTTCTGTTTTGTTTTTTTTTTTGTTTCTTTTTTTTTTCATTTCCAGCTGTTCAGACACTACGGGAGCCCTGGCATCACCCTCAAAGGAAATCCTTTAGAGAACAAGGCTTCTCATAGATGTCAACTGGCAACCATTCCAATAATCAACTGCCTTGCTACCATACAATTCTAGCCCAAGCAGAGGCCTGCCAAGTGCCCTGTGATTCTAAAGGAAATACGAAAAAGTGTTCTTTTGAAAGTGAAGTGTCTGCCCCAATTTATCCAACTTTGCTGCTAAGGTACACTCTGACATGAAGACTGTGCAGAAACATGTAAACACATTTATGATACTAGCTTCAGTGACCACAGCAGACTATCACTGATATGTATCCTGGCCTGGCGTGGTGGCTCACGCCTGTAATCCTAGCCCTTTGGGAGGCCGAGGCAGGTGGATTGCCTCAGCTCAGGAGTTAGGGACCAACCTGGGCAACATGGCAAAACCCTGTCTCTACTAAAAATACAAAAAAAAAAAAATTAGCCGGGCATGGTGGTGCACGCCTGTAGTCCCAGCTACTTGGGAGGCTGAGGCACTAGAATTGCTTGAACCCAGGAGGTGGTGGTTGCAGTGAGCCAAGATTGCGCCACTGTATTCTACCCTGGGTGACAGAGTGTGACCCTGTCTCAAAAAATAAAAATAAAAAACAAATGATACGTATCCTAATTGTCATGCACGTGGACAGGGATTAAGAGGCAAAAAAATATATATATAGGAGTAGATGTGCAACGCTTTAGGCTTCTGGGTGGTTTACACCACTCCACCTCACCCAAATATGACTTAATATGTTACTTTTTTTTTCAGTTAAAAAAAGTGTAAAAAAGAAACTTTATCTAGAAAGATGAGTGACCCTATTTGGAGAGGTGCAGAGTACCCAGATCAGAGTTGGAATTTAATTTTTCTGGTTTAGGCTTAGATTGGAAACAGTCATAAGACAGCAACTTCAGAACATTCTGCTGCCCACACCACACAGGGACACGGAAAGTAATAGAATTTAACGTTTGGCAAAGTCTTTTCTCTCTCTCTCTTTCTTTCTCTCTCTCTCTCTTTGTGAGATGGAGTCTCATTTTGTTGCCCAGGCTGGAGTGCAGTGGCATGATCTCGGCTCACTGCAACCTCCACCTCCCGGGTTCAAGCGATTCTCCTGCCTCAGCCTCCCGAGTAGCTGGGATTACAGGTGCCTGCCAACACGCTCCTGTAATTTTTGTATTTTTAGTAGAGACGGGGTTTCACCACGTTGGCCAGGCTGGTCTCGAACTCCTGGCCTCACGTGATCTTCCCGCCTTGGCCTCCCAAAGTGCTAGGATTATAGGCATGAGCCACCACACCCCGCCATAGCAAAGCCATTTCTTAAAGACAGTGCAAACATCTTGAGTCAAAAAAAAAAAAAAAAGAAAAAAAGAAAAGAAAACCAAATATGTCTTACTGAGAATAGTTGCTCTTTGAATTCAAAAAAAAGTCAACCCTATTTGCATGTATTGCTTCCTATCACCCTTTTCTCAACATACCACCTTTCTTTCCTCTGTGTCTTTTTGGTTTAGCCACTTGTTGATGTCCTCTGTCTCCCTTTTCTTTCTTGCCCTTTGCAAAATAATTTCTTCTTCCTTCTTTCTTTCTTTTTTTTTTTTTTTTGAGCCAGTGTCTCCCTCTGTCACTCAGGCTGGAGTGAAGTGGCACGATCATGGCTCACTGCAACTTCTGCCTCCTGAGTTCATGCGATTCTCCTGCCTCAGCCTCCCGAGTAGCTGGGATTATAGGCACCCGCCACCATGCCAGGCTAATTTTTTGCATTTTTGGTAGAGATGGGGTTTCACCATGTTGGCCAGGCTGGTCTCGAACTCCTGACCTCAGGTGATCCACCCGCCTTGGCCTCCCAAAATGATGCAATTACAGGTGTGAGCCACCGCACCTGGCCTGCAAAATAATTTCTATGCCATGGTATATGCCTGTGCAGGAGGAGCTGAGAAGAAAGAATCCTAGTTCCACTGTTTAGAATGTTTTTGTTTCATTTGGGTTTTTATTTATTTTTTTGAGAAAGGGTCTTGCTCTGTTGTCCAGGCTGGTGTGCAATGGTGTGATCTTGGCTCACTGCAGCCTCAACCTCCTGGGCTCAATTGATCCTCCTGCCTTGGCCTCCCAGACAAGCACTGGAATTACAGGAGTGATCCAACATGACCAGCTTACCTCATCTTTTTAAGCCTTGTTCCTTGTCTGTACAAGAGGGATAAAATAGCGTCTACCTCTTAGGAATCCTGCAATGATTAAATTAAGTAATGTTTGGAAATTTCTTAGTGCTGTACCTGGTACGAAGTATATACTCATCATAACGTTAGCTGTTAATTATTATCAGTTGTATGGTTTTGGAAATAATATGTGTTGAACCCATAGTCCTTGTAGGACAGGAGGTAGATACTATCAGGCTTACTTTATTTTATTTATTTTATTTGTTTTATTTTATTTTATTTTATTTTATTTTATTTTATTTTATTTTATTTTATTTATTTTTATAGACAGGGTTTTGCTCTGTCTCCTAGGCTGGAGTGCGTTGGTGCTATCATAGCTCACTGCAGCTTCAACCTCCCAGGCTCAAGCGATCCTCCCACCTCAGCCTCCTGAGTATCTGGGACTACAGGCACACACCACCATGCCCAGCTAACTGTGTTTATTTTTTGTAGAGACACGTCTCACTATGTAAATTCTTGGACTCCAGTGACCCTCCCCACCTTAGCCTCCCAAAGTGCTGGGATTACAAGCATGAGCCACCGTGCCTGGCCTAGAGCATTTTTATAGAAATGTAATGCAGTTGTGCAAATTGATCCTGAACCCAGAAAAAAACATGTGTTTTTTAAAACAAAAAGTAAAAAAATAGTCAATTGACACCTGTATTCTCTTAGTTTCCTGAGGCTAATTTACACTGAAACTATTTCAGGGAAGACACTGTGGGGCGGGGCTGAGGGAAGGTACGGTGAGGGAGGAGAGCTGTTTAGTGAGATGTTCACAGGCCTGCCAAAACATTTTTTTAGTCTAGTTACCAATTGCCTACTCGTTGACATCCCCGTGAAAAGCAAGCCACCACGTTGTTTCTGATATTCATTTTTGAGACAATAAATTTACAAGACATTAAAATCAGCAATATTAATGACTCACTAGAATTGCACAAAACAAACAACCTTCCAAGATATGCTTCAGTTAGGAAAATTACCAATACTCCCCAAACCACCTGAAATGCTATCCTTTAAAACTTAGTCATCAGACAGAAAATTTAGATTTCAAAAGCCAAGGCCCTACCAGTGACTTACCGCTGACAGCACGTCTTCCCCGAGCACAGTCCCTTAAACCACAGGACACCCTGAGGATGTCGGATGCGGGACAGCAGCCCCTCATGATCTGACCTCTGACCCAGGCTGTTGTGTGGCTCAGAAGGAAATTCCAAGGCCATGACTACAACTTCCCGGCACAAGTCATTGTTGGTGCTCCCGGGTACTGGGTCACCTCAAGAGACACATCCTTCTCTCCACTTCAGTTTCCTTCACAGAAAAGTGAAGACTCAAAGTCCAATCTAGGTACCCAAACATTGCAAGACCACAAAATCTCAATCATCATAAAGCACATCACAGCCAGGAGGAGATGAATGAATGTCACGCAGTTACAGCAACCTCAAGAAATTTACGGGAAATACACACATGGAAAGAAAGGACTTCAGGCAATTTAAAATCTGTTAAAACATTAATCCCTGCCCTGTAATCCCAGCGCTTTGGGAGGCCGAGGTGGGCAGATCACTTGAGGTCAAGATCAGCTTGGCCAACATGGTGAAACCTCTTCTCTACTAAAAATACAAAAATTAGCTAGGTATGTTGGCACCTGTAATCCCAACTACTGGGGAGGATGAGGCAGGAGAATCACTTGAACCTGGGAGGCGGAGGTTGCAGTGAGCTGAGATCCAGCCATTGCACTCCAGCCTGGGCAACAGAGTGAAACTCTGTCTCAAAAAACAAACAATCAAAAAAATTAGATACATACAGATAGTGTAATGGTTACTACAGTGGAGTCAGTTAATATGTCTATCATCTCACATGGTTACTTTTTTTGTGGGACTAGAGCAGCTAAAATCTATTTATGTAACAAAAAACCCTAACACAATACAATTTTAACTTTAGTCCTCATGTTGTACATTACATCTCTAGACTTGTTCATCCTCCTTATCTACTGTGGTTCTGTATGTATCTACACATCTATGGGTATCCAATAGCGTTATGATGTAAACTTCAAATATACACAATCATATTTTTTGTTTGTTTTTTTGTTTTATGTTTTTGAAACAGGGTCTCACTCCGTGGTCCCAGCTGGAGTTCAGTGGCATGATCACAGCTCACTGCAACCTCTGCCTTCCTGGGGCTCAAGAGATTCTCCCACCTCAGCCTCCCAAGTAGCTGGGATTACAGACGCAAATCTCCACACAGGGTTAATTTTTGTATTTTTTGTAGATATGGGGACTCGCCATGTTGTCCAGGCTGCTCTTGAACTCCTGGGCTCAAGTGATCTTCCCACCACAGCCTCCCAAAGTTCTGGGATTACAGATGTGAGCCACCACTTTCAGCCCATATAGATATATATGTAATATATATAAAATAATATATATTATATATTATTATAATGTATATGATATAATTATGATATATAATACATAATAAATATATAATATATAATATAATATATAATAAATATATATAATATAATATATAATAAATAACATATAATATAATATATAATAAATAACATATAATATAATATATAATATATAATATAATATGATATATAATAAATATATAATATAATATATAATAAATAATACATAATATAATATATAATATATAATAAATAATACATAATATAATATATAATGTAATATATAATAAATAATATATAATATACAATAAATAATATATATAATATAATATATAATAAATAATATATATATAATAAATACTATATATGTTTATTAATTCACCTATCTGGGCATGGTGGCTCACCCCTGTAATCCCAGCTACCTAGGAGGCTAAGGCAGAAGGATTGCTTGAGCCCAGGAGTTCGAGACCAGCCTGGGCAACATAGTGAGACCCCATCTCAAAAATAAAATTCATCAATTCCCTGTCCACACTTCACTTATACCAGGGAAATAACACTTATTACAAAAGTGGGCAAGTGGGATCTACCCAAAACCTTTAAAGGCCAAAGGTTGATTGTAATTTTTTAATAAAATTTTTAATACAAATTTTTATTTTATAAAAATTTTATATAACCATTTTTATTATCATTGTAATATGATTTTTATGATAACTTTTCCCTCTGGTTTATCTCAAGCTTACTTTTGTTCGGTTCTCAAGTGATACCATATTGAAGTAAGATGACGATGGAAGGAAAGGAGACACAGGCATGAGACACCAGAAGCCTCATTCAGAGAGGATGACCTTGTTCCTATTTTGCTCTATGACCTCTGGCAAACGATTCCACCTGTCTTTATTGTGACTCTCCTGGATTTAAAAAAACATACGCAGGTGTGGCCAGGCACGGCGGCTCACTACTGTAATGCCAGCACTTTGGGAAGCAGAGGCAGGAGGATCATTTGAGCTCAGGAGTTTGAGACCTGCCTGGGCAACATGGCAAAACCCAAAAACAACAATATGAAAATTAGCAGGGCATGGCGGTGTGTGCCTATAGTCCCAGCTACTCGGGAGGCTGAGGTGGGAGGATTGCCTGAGCCCAAGAGGCAGAAGTTGCAGTGAACTGAGATCAGGCCACTGCACTCCCGCCTGGGCAACCGAGTGAGATCCTGTCTCAAAAAACAAAAAACAAAACACATGCAGGTGTGTCCTTCAGGTTCTTGGTGGCTGGATACAGCTGCAGCTTATACACCAGATGGAAGTTATTAAGTGAGTGGCTCTATTAGAAACAAATTAACATGACAATATTGATGTAATAGAAAATGGAAATAGCAATGCATTCTTCAAAGCTCAACCCTCTGCGGGTTTGCACTTCAAGTCATAACCCGGGCTGGCGTTTTACTTGCGGATCTTTGGAAAGCTCATCCTAGGGACGCTGCTGCTGCTGCTCATGCAGCAAAAGGAAATTCGGTTTTCTCTGATCATGCAAAAGAGAAGTCCGGGTGTGGGGACCCAGCGGTCTATGTGATTCAAGCCACAAGTCCTCCAGGCCGAGCAATGAACCATCTCCACATGAATGCTACAGGGCAGCGTGTCAGAAAACATTAATAATCAGTCTCTGGGCCTAAAGTGTAGACGATGAGGCGTGGACCCAGGCAGGTAAGAGGCTGGTACAACAGGAAGCTCTCCTGAGGGCGTTATGGCATCTCGCTGAAGAGGAACTCCTACCCACAGCTCAGTTGTGTGATGTGGGGAGGTGGGTGCACTTTCCACCTTCCAACCAAACAAGCTACTGGCGTGAATGATGGACAGGTGCGACAGATGTGGAAGGCCAAGATTCCGCTGGGGCGGGTCCACAATCACCCTCCTCACGCCTGGCAGCCAACGCTCTGACTACAATGACAAGGGCAGATGGACGCTGAAAGACGCAATGGCATGGGCCCCAGAATTAGGTCCTGCACCATGGACACCATACTGGGGAGCACAGGGCAGAAGCCGCTCACAGGTGGCGGGCAGGTGTACAAAGAACTCCAGGCTCCTGGGGGGCAGCAGCGCTTTCTGGGTGACATCCAACTAGCTGGACCCCTAAAATTTGGAGGAACCTGTTTCCTCCTAGGTTCTGCCACTGTTAGAGTGTTTTCTGAAAACGGGATTTTCTTTACCTCCATTTCGAGTACATTATCAGGATTTTAACCCACTATTCTACCGGAAATACACACAATTAGGAAGATTTATTCACAAGCCCTCATTTACAACACAACTGCAGGTTTTACTTTTCATCCAAGCCTGGAAACACGGATATCTTTGGTTCTGCAACTGGAGCAACCGGAGTCTCTGAAGAGCTACAGAGCCTTAATCCTACTGAGCACTGGATTGTATTATTATTATTAATCATTATTATTAGGAGAGGGGCTGGGGAAGGGAATAGAGCCTAATCCTTACAAAGGAAAGGGAGCTGGGAATCTGGATCAGAGAGGGAGTGCTGTGCAGTCTGAACAGAGGCAGAGGCTAATGGGAACAGAGATGGGTGGCAGAGAGCAGCCCTTGGGCAGATCTGGACAGAGGCCTGAAGGCCCCAGAGGCCAGTCCTGCTGTGGGTGCAGAGTGAGATTCTTCCTTCTTTACATATTGCTGCTAGCATCTGTGAAAGACGACTGTCTGAACATGGATAACAGGCTCTCTGACATCGGCCTCACCTCACCAGATCCCTTTTTTTCAAATACTCTCCTTCCCATCGCTCCTCTCAGTTTCAAGAGTGGGCCACCTGGGACTTTTAGAGTCTGTTCCTCCAAGGACCATCCTCTCCCTTGCCGTGGGGCCTGGCCCATGCTGTTACCTTTGCTTGGAGGCACATTTTTCACTCAAAGTCCAAAGCCCATCGCTGTGGTCTCCTCTACGCCATGCATTCAGCCCGGTGCTGGGGACACAGGTGACCCAAGGAGCCGTGGTCCTGTTTCTTGCTGATTACTGGCTTGAGAGAAAGATGCCACACACCTTCTCCTCCTGAGAGGCAGGTCCACAGCACTATCTGGCAGCTACCCTGGGCTGTCACGCTCCGTCCTCCCCTCCCCTCCCCTCCTGCTAGGACACCTAACATCAAGACCGTGCTGGGTTGCCGCCACTGCCATCATGCCAGCTCCTGGGTCTCAGTGAGGCTGAGGACACTCCAGAACGGGAGGCAAGCCCATGTGGGAGATGACTGGACCCATCTTCATTCAACGTTCAGTTATTGAGTTCTATAACAATAGAACTCAACTCAGCACAATTTACATTGACATATCACGCCTTAGGCGGGAAGGAGAGCAGCTCGAGGGGAAAGCTGCCATTGTGAAGAAGCCATCCAGCCTTCTGTTCCACAAAATCCAGCATAGCATCATGGTGCAGGACCGTCAGCCCACACCAGCTAACTGCATCCTCAGCATGCTTGTGAGCCAGCCAAATGCCAATGAAGACCCCATTATGGGGCTCCACCAGATGTTCCTATGAAAGGACATAATGGATGCTTGGGTTCGCCCTGATGACAGACATGTTCAGGCCTGCCCTGCACGACTTCACTGACCTCCTCCCAGCCAGGCACTCACGCTGTTTCTTTCTCCCTCCTCTTCCCAATACTATTCACGCTTCTGCAGACACACCAGATACTATACACAAATGCACGGGGCTGTGTGGGGGCGGACACGGTGCACTGTTGCCACCAAGGTGTCCTGCATGATGTCTGGACACCGGACCAGCGGCCTCTGACAGGAAGAGTTTGTGTTGTGACAGTGCATGCCTTGGAATGGTTGTTCCTTTTTAAAAAAAATCTGACAAGTTGCTCTAGTAACCCAAAGAAGTGAAGGAGAAACCAGCTACCCCACTGGACAGATACTGATTTGTGCAGAATCCGTTTCAATGCCTCATGAAACAATAAAACCACGAACATCTTCCTTAAAAAAATAAAGACCACCTCACCTTCCCCTTCCCCAGGTTTAGCTTTGTACAAAAGACTGAGGAAGCCGCTGACTCTGCCGGGTTCTCCCTGCTCTGCCACTCCAGGCCTTCTCCAGACCTGGCCTGCAGAGAAGGGCACGGGGGACAGCCAGGGGGCTCTAAACAGCTGTTAGATCCTCTTGCATCTCGCAGACTCAGTGGACTGCTGGGGATGCCAAGCGTGGGAAGGAGGCTCCAGGCACACATCCCACTCCTGTCCTCCAGCTACCTGGGGACCCAGAGGTCTGAGCCACACACTGTGCCTCCCTTGCTACCCTCCCTGAGCCACACCGCCGGGGCTTACGGTGGGTCAGAGCCAGGCTCCAGAGCTCGGCCACCCGGGGCTGTGGCTTATCCTGGCTTCACCACTTCCTAGCTGAGTGTGATCCTCCAGAAGTTACTTCACCAACGTGGCCTCCTTCCGTAATCTATAAAACAGAGATGACAGCAATTCCTACCTCGTAGAGTTGTGATGAGGAACGCTGCACATAAAAAGTGCAGAACGCTGAATGCTGAACCACTGACTGCCGCCTACACACAGTGGAGTCAGGCCCTGATCTGATTTGCTGCTCCCTGCTCCTATAGGAAGGCCCGGGGGCGCTGCAGGTCTCTGTCCCCTCATGCCAGGTCTCCTGTGGCTCTGGATGGGTGAGGAGGCTAATTCTGGGCAGGTGGCATTGGGATGGCTGTCTTCAGGGACTGAGCAAGTGCCAGGCCTTCACAAAATGAAGCTCTGGGGGCACTGGTCATTTGTTGAGGAGGGTACTTCGTTCAGACAGGACGCTTAGAAGCCCAGCTCTTTTTCCCAGTAACTGGTTCCCAGGGCCATCCTGTGGCACCCGCACTCATTACGTTGAGAGCAGATGTAAGAAATACAGGAGCTGGCCTAAGAAAGGAGGTTTAGGAATACCCATGCACGATGTGTGGGAAAATGTCCAGGTTCTTACGCATGCACGTAATTCTTATTCACAGCACATGCGTTCACGCAGACGTTCTGCAAGGGCAGCTGGGAGAGGTGTAAACCCCAAAGAAACAGAACATGCAAGAAGTGGCCAGAAAGTACACACCTACCTAACATCCAACTGTTCCCTGGGGGAACAGTGAGGAAAGATGGAAAATAACACCTGTTCTTTGCCACATGGAGCTCTGGCTTCAGTATGAGTGACAGAGGTTGTTTATATTTTTGTCTGTTCGTTTGTTTGTTTGGAGTAGAATGAGAGGCTTTTTTCAAAGGGAAAGGCAAGTATCTACCTTTTCTTTTGTTTTGATGACTGTACTTGGAATTTTTAGAGTAGAAAAGGATAGTTAGATGGAGCCTGGGCACAGTGACTCACAGCACTTTGGGAGGCGGAGGGGGGCAGATCAGCTGAGGCCAGGAGTTCAAGACCAGCCCAGCCAACACGGTGAAACGTCATCTCTACTACAAATACAAAAATTAGCCGGGCATGGTGGTGAACGCCTATAGTCCTAGCTACTTGGGAGGCTGAGGCAGAAGAATCACTTGAACCCAGGAGGTGGAAGTTGCAGTGAGCCTAGATCACACCACTGCACTCCAGCATGGGTGAAAAGAGAGAGACACTGTCTCAAAAAAAATAAAATAAAATAAAAAAATAAAAGAATAGTTAGATGGAGACCCCAGACAGACAGTTTTTAAAAGCCTAGAAAAAAAGATAAGGCTGAAAAAAAAAAAAGATAAGTTTGACTCTCTGGATCTAAAAAAATATAGTTCATATGGGATGGTGACTTTAAACGTAAAATTTTGATCACATGATAAAATTAAATGAGGAAGTGAAGATTGAGACATGAAGAACACAGGATGTGTGCTGGAGAACTCGCAAAGGAGACTAGATTGTAGTAGAACAAAGTGTGTATGAGGAATATTTCCAGCATTTTTCGTGCACTACAAGTTTACAGGGAGAGAGTTGGAAAGCTGACACTGACATTTATTTATTTAAATTAGTTAATTTATTTTTGAGACGGAGTCTCGCTCTTTCGCCCAGGCTGGAGTGCAATGGTACGATCTCAGCTCACTGCAACCTCTGTCTCCCAGGTTCAAGTGATTCTTGTGCCTCAGCCTCCCGAGCAGCTGAGATTACAGGCACCAGCCACCATGCCCCACTAATTTTTGTATTTTTAGTAGAGATGGAGTTTCACCATGTTGGCCAGGCTGGTCTCCAACTCCTGACCTCTGGTGATCTGTCCACCTTGGCCTCCCAAAGTGCTGAGATTACAGGCTGAGCCACCGTACCTAGTCATGACACTGATATTTAAAACAAGGAAAGTCTAAGGACAATAAAAGAACCTTTAAAGATATGTTCAAAGCAAGAAGAGCAAGGAAGGGAATGGAAATATTGTTTGAAGCAAGTAGATGCTGGTTGGGTGTGGTGGTTCATGCCTGTAATCCCAGCACTTTGGGAGGCCGAGGCAGATGGATCACCAGAGGTCAGGAGTTGAGACCAGCCTGGCCAACATGGTGAAACCTCGTCTCTACTAAAAATACAAAAATTAGCTGGGCTTGTTGGCACACGTCTGTAGTCTCGGCTGCTTGGGAGGCTGAGGCAGGAGAATCGCTTGAACCTGCCAGGCGCAGGTTGTGGTGAGCCGAGATTGCACGACTGCACTCCAGCCTGGGTGACAGAGTGAGACACTGTCTCAAAAAAAAAAAAAAAAAAAAAAAGAGGAATTGCTGAACAATTCAGCTTCTGTTTGTTTCACTCTTCTCAATCAAGAGGGAAATGAAAGGAATATAAATGAACTGCACTCTCTCCCCAAAATAAATCCCAGGTAGTTTATAAAGTTAAATTTTAAAACCAGGTAGATGATTATTTACCATGTTTCTCTAAGCCTAAAAGCAATGAATGAGCCAAAAAGGAAAAAACTATGGATTTGACTACCATAAAGATCATTCTAAACAATAAATTATACTCCACAAGGCCCCATAAGCAAAAGTAAAAAGTTAATGTAAATTTCAGGAAGGTATTGTAACAACTATAATGGGAATTACTATATTAAAGATAAAATCATTTAGTTAGTAGATAATTACAACTTAATTAGAAGACCACTAACACCTTCCAGGAAATAGAATGCAAACAGCTAAAAAGTCCAGATCCTTGGACTCTGTCATTTCTCTTCTAGGAATTTTCCCCATCGAAACAAGAGAAATAGAATAAAGAATTATTCACAGTAATGTTCACCACAATGTGTTCACTCAAGTGCTTATAGCATCTTTATTATGTGCCAGGGATCTTATTAGGTATATAATGATGAATGTGATTTTGCTCCTATACTTAAGGAACTTCTATGTTCTGTAGAGGAAATACCCAAGTTAACAGGCTGTTGCAGAGTGATCAGTGTGACTACAGGGGTGAGTATAAGATGCTATGGGATGGGGACGGGGGGACACCCTAACTCACACCTGGTGGATCCGTCAATACCCCAGGGAAGGAGTGATATCTGCAGAACACAGCAACATGAGGTAAGAAGGGATGAAATGGGAGAGAACATAGAATGTTCTGGAAATGTCACCCAGGCAAAGAGCTGAAGGACACCGTGGCGGATGAGAAGGAAGCAGTGAGAAATACAGCTGGACACCGTCTTTATGAAAACAAAGAAGGGGGAGCTAATCGTCTGAGTGAGGATGGCTAAATCGCTTGAAATAGGAAATAGCCACTGAGCACTGTTTTCAAGTCAATTTCATCATGAGGCCAAAATGAGGGGAGTCTGGAGACAGGGCTGCAACAGCAAGATCCACAAGCACTTGGAAAACTGCAAAGTGATATTAAAGTAGAACTTGTCTTCCTCAATCCATGTATTTCCCCCCAGTGATTTGTAAAGGGACATAGCAGGCATGCATATCAGATTTACAGAGGGCAAAGAGGTTCGGATGGTAGCTTCAAATGTCAAAGTTGGGGTCATATTGTTTACAGTTTTGTGTCGTACTCTTCACGCACGTGCTAGAAGCCCAGCATCGGAATAAGGGAATTAAGAGGTGCCCTGCATTCTACTGTGGTTAAACTGCTTCTGGAAATCTGTATTCAATTGTGGGTACCATATTTTATACAAGAAAATGAAAGAAATGGGAGAGAGACCAAAGAAGGATAACTAGACCGGGTGAAGGTCCAGAAACCAGTACTTCCCAGGACTGAGGGAAAAGCTGCATCGGTGGCCTACATATCACAAGCTCTAGTGGTAGCGTGACCATACAACCTACTGGCCATACCAGATACTTGTGAGGCAAAAGGGAGGCTATTATTGATTATATAGAGAGAACAGGTATAAACTAGGACTGTCCTGGGCTTACCCAAATGGGGGTTCGGGGGAACTTGCTAATCTGATGTGTATAAAGTGAAGGTGGGTTAACTTTGCTTTGGTGGGCAAAAAATAGACCCAATGAGGGGAAATTCCAGAAGATACATTCGGATTCAATGGAAGGAAGAACTTTTGAACAAGCATCATTGCTCAAAATGGAATGGGTTGCCCCGTTATCACTGCAAATCATCAGGAAGGGACCAGAGACTTTAGCAAGGGAAGTTGTAGAAAGGATTACAGAACTCAGGGACAGACGGACTCTAAGATCCCTTCCCTTCCTCTCCAATAAGTTGTGATGTATAAGGCATGGATATATAGGCACAGCTAGAAACAAAGAGTTCCAAGAAAATATATTCATTCTGATAGCTGATGTATTTACTTGTGATGTTTCCTTGGTACAATATTACATGTGGTTTGGTGAAACAAATTTTTACAACGTTCACTCAGTGCTTCAGAAAGCTTACAAAAATTTTAGTACAGACTGATAGGCACAAACGCATTTTTCTACTTTTTGATGCTACCAATTTTTCTCATATAAATGTGTGGTCGAACATCCCCTATTTAAAATGTAATTCTGTGCAGAAGAGTTACCGGCATCTGTTGCTGGTTTGGTAGAGAATTCACGTGCTCAGTAACCAAGAACCTTAATAACACTTTCTGGTAACATGAATTTGCCTACTTTGTTTCAGTGTCCAGTTTAATCTGTCGTTTTAAATGAAATTTTAAAAAAATTTTGCTTATGTTGTGATCAATGGAAGGAGACACAGTATTATTTACAACTATGGGTCTTATTATACAATAAGTTTTCACAGTTGTAAACATTTTATTGATACTAAAACAATAATACGTGTGATTAAAATAGAATGATGTGACTGCCATAATAGGCACACAATAAATATTTTATATGAATAATAAATATATATTTAAATAGCATATATCTTTATATATATAATTTCAAGGGCAATTATGTAATATAGGTACTATATAAATTAATTTGCATTCAGTGAAATATGTTTTAATTTGCCTATTCTGTAGAAATATGCCCCAAAAGCCAGTCTCAGGAACACATGCATTATTTGTCATTCACATACCTATGTGACAAGCAGAATCAATGTGGATCTGCCCTCAGTGATGGGTGAAGCCACATAGATAAGAGTTGGGGAATGGGCTCTCCTTGTCATAAACAATCTTCTTTGTATACTACTATAGTCATAATCTCCATTGCCTCCCAGGGAGGTGTGGAGCAGAAAATAGTATTCTAGACCACCTGCAAGTTTTCCAAATTCCACCCTTGGGTCTTTGGTGGCTCTTGACATACAGTAGGAAAATGGCCACCTATGAGGTTAGTATGTCCTGCCAGGCCACCTGCTTTGCTAAACCTGTGTTGGATACAAAGCACTCCTGTACTAAGTGCCTAAATCCAAGGTCCACATGCTCAGATGCCAAGTCCTGCCACGTTTAGCAGGAAGCACTCCACACCGACAGCTGACTCCAGTGACACCCTTAAATCAGATCAAACCTCTAGTGGCATCGGAGCAAGACACATCTGAGAAACAGGGACGCTCGAGAACTAGAGAACCACCAGTCCTACACGGAGGTCCCAGTTCCATGAGGTCAAAAAGAAGTCCCCAACCCTCCCCATTCCAATACAGAGCTGCAGGGAGAGCTTGGGGACCCGTAGTGCTTCCATAGGGGGAAGTTTCCACAGTGACTTTGACATCCACACGGAGCAGTCCATCTGGGCTAGAGGCTACCGCCTTTCTGTTTACATAACCAAGTACTTTGGAAAGGGTTCTGCTGGAATGTCGCTGGCAGGGACTTCTTGGTCTTGCATGAGCTGTGCTGGCAGATCCCTCCTTCCATTCTTCCTGGGGGAGGTTTTGACACTGGCTGGCTGCCCCATGAACCATCCCAGACACTTCATGGAGATCTGCCCCTGGGCGCCTGGTCCAGTGTCAGGAGCTCCCAGGAGGGGATAAGTCCTAGAGCTGCTCCCCATGTAAGCCTGGGCATGGAAGGTCAGGCCTGAGAGGGGTGGAAAGAGCGAGGGAGAGGACTCCCAAACCCAAAAGTCTCCCCACCCCCATCCTCATCAAGCCTCTTGGTGGAAATGCTGTCACAGACAGTAACGTAGCACCTTACAGTGCAATGGCCCCGGCAAACGAGAGTCTAAATATATCCAGGGTGCATATCATTAGTGAGCAGTTACAGAAATAAAGATGTTATGTTGTATCTGTTAGTCAAATCAAAAATTCTAATTGGACACAGAACAATTTCTCAAAGCTTTCAGCAGGAGGTAATTACTGTGTTGACTACTTGTAGCAAAAAAAAAAAAAAAAAAAAAGCTGAAATAGAGCCTAGTGTTTGGGCTGTTTCCATGAAAGAAGGAAGGAGAGAGATGTTTTTGCCTGGATCTGAGCTGCTTAAAAGCTGGCTGGGCTCCTGATCTTTGCACTTTCCTGGTTTAACCAGTGACACTGCTGCAAGCAGCTCACCATGTCACACCAAACCCTTTGATAACCAAAGTGCAGTGTATTTTTAGCAAAACCTTCAGAAAAGACCTGGAAATAAAGCCAGGCATGGTGGCTCACACCTGTAATCCCAGCACTTTGGGAGGCCGAGGCGGGCAGATCACCTGAGGTTAGGAGTTTGAAACCAGCCTGGCTAACATGGCAAAACGTTGTCTCTACTAAAAATACAAAAATTAGCCAGGCATGCTGGTGAGCACCTGTAATCCCAGCTACTCGGGAGGCTGAGGCAGAAGAATCACTTGAACCCGGGAGGCGGAGGTTGCAGTGAGCCGAGATCACGCTACTGCACTCCAGCCTGGGCGACACAGCGAGACTCCATCACAAAACATAGAAAGAAAAGAAAGAGAGAGAGAGAGAGAAAGAGAGAAGGAGAGAAAGAGAGAGGGAGGGAGGGAAGGAAGGAAGGAAGGAAGGAAGGAAGGAACCTGGAAATGAGTCTGTGACTAGATAATAGTATTGGAAAGCCAGAATTTTAAATCAGGACAGACAGATGAGGCAGGGACAGTGATGACATTTTATATCCTTCCTCATGTCTAGTCCTGAGCATCACACAAATGATTGACTAAAAGTATAAAAGTACAGAGTTACAATTCCTGATTGTGGTGATGGTTTCCCAGGTATAGTCACATATCAAGACATATCCAACAGTATATTTTAAATAAGCATAGTTTATTGTATGTCAATGATATATTAATAAATCTATTTAAATATGAGATTTAGCACTTTGTGAGGCCAAGGCTGGAGGATTGCTTGAAGCCAAGAGTTTGAGACCAGCCTGGGCAACACAGTGAGACCCCATCTCTAAAAAAAAATACAAAAATTAGCCGGGTGTGGTGGTAATCCCAGTGCTTTGGCCTGGAGTTCAAAACCAGCCTAGGCAACACAGCAAGACCCCATCTCTCAAAAACAAACAAAAAAAATCTTTTAAAAAACGTAGCCAGGCATGGAGACATGGGCCTGTAGTCCCTGGTACTCAGGAGGCTGAGGTGGGAGAATCACTTGAGCCCAGGAGTTTGAGTCTGCAGTGAGCCATGATGGCACCATTGTACTCCATCCTGGGCAGCAGGGTGATACCCCATCTCCCCACAAATAAATAAAATAAAATAAAAGAGAGACATTTCTTCCAAGTTATCAAAAAGACACCATCAGGAGCATGACATTGAGGATTCAATTTGTACAATGGCACATCTCAACAGAACTTTTCACACAATGAGGAATTCTTTTCTTTCCTTCCTCTTCCTCCTCCTTCTTCTTTCTCTTCCTTTTCCTGCTCCTCCTCTTCCTCCCTTCTCCCTTCTCCCTCCTCCTCTCCCTTCTCCCCCCTCCCCCTCCCCCTCCTTCCCCTTCTTCCTCCTCCTCCTCCCTTCCTCCTCCTCCTCCTCCTCCTTCTTCTTCTTCTTGAGATGGGTCTCACTATTTGACCCAGGCTGCTCTCAAACTCCTGGCCTCAAGCGATTCTCCTACCTCAGCCTCCCAAGTTGCTGGGATTACAGGTGTGAGCCACCACGCTTGGCTGTTTTTCATACATTATATTCTTATTATTTGAAGTTTGGTGCTTATGCATTTTCCCAGATGTCATCATACTCAGTTCTGAACCCTGGAGTTGGCAGTCTTTTGTGCTTTAAGCATCGTTTGTACATGGGTGAGCTTCAACTCTGTGTCTCCACTGTGGTGTCCCCTGACCCAGGTTTGTAGAGAATTATGCTCAAAACTGCCCTCTCCACACCTCACTTGGTCCCTTGTTAAACATCCCAAGCTCAGCGAGTCCCAGACGGAATTCCTGATCTCACTTTTCCCCAGATCACAGCTTCCCCTCCCAGGTAATGGTAGCTCTGCCTCGTCATCTCCATTTTGTGCTCTTTTGGCCCCAAATTCTGGACTCTTCTCTTTATCACATATCCCACACTGAACCCTCAGAAAATCCTGTTGGTTCTGTCTTCAGAATATCCAGAACCTGAACACTTTTCATCACCGTCATCATCATCATTGTCATCATTTGTCTGGATTCTTGCAAATGTGCTTCCAACTCTGCCCACCTTGCAATCTCACCCACACGGCACCCAAACCATTTCTGCATGGCCTCCGTGGGACCAGGGGCTCCCCAGCTCCACAATGGGGAGAGCCCCCCAGGGTAGAGCCTTAAAGGCCCATGTGACTCCCACCAGTCCTCACCCTGCACCACATGGCTCTGGGACCTCTCCTGGGTGCAACCTCTCTTGTTCCCTGCCACACTTCTGCCTCAGTGCCTTTGATGAATTCTGCCCTCTGCTTGGAATACTCACCACGTCCAGACACCCACCTGGCTTACCTCCTCACATCCTTTCAGTCTTTGCTCAATGATCACCTTTCCCGAGGTCTACAAGACCCCTGTGTTTAAAAGAGCAACTTAGCACACTTCCCTTCCTCTGCTTTGTTTTTCTTTGTAGTAATTACCAGCTTCTAGCATCCTCTGTCACTTACTTATGGATCATGTGGATTGTCTGCCCCTTCCTCTTCGAATGCAAGCTCCCCAGGGGCAAGACTTGGTTGGTTTTTCTCACTGCCACATTCCTGGAATGTTCAAGGCATACCAATAGGTATGTGTTGAATGATTGAATGGGTGGGTGCATGAATGAATTAATGAATGAACTTGTGGCACTCAAATACTTCTGCCATTTGCCAGCTGGGGTTTGCCAGGGTAGCATTTTTTATACGAAAAAAAGGAGGGCTGGGTGTGGTGGTTCACACCTGTAATCCCAGAGCTTTGAGAGGCTGAAGTGGGAGGATCGCTTGAGGTCAGAGTTCAAGACCAGCCAAGGCAATCTAGTGAGACCCCCATCTCTAAAAAAAAAAAAAAAAAAAAATTAGCTGGGCATGGTGGTGCATGCCTGTAGTTCCAGGTACTGGGGAGGCTGAGGTGGGAGGATCACTTGAGCCCAGGAGTTCAAGGCTACAGTGAGCTATGATTGCACCACTGCACTCCAATCTGAGTGACAGAGCAAGAATGGGCCAGAGAGAGACAGAGAGAGAAAGAGAGTTGTCACACTATCCTTATTCTCTTCCCATTTGACATAGAAACAGGCAGAGAGAGAAAGCAGAGCTCCCTAGCAGAGAGAAGAGCTGACCATAGGTAGGGGCCCTGGGCTGGAGCAGGAAACAGTCCCTAGAGATCTGCGCAGACAAGTCAAAAAAGGAGAAATCACAACGTGACAATGAGTTCCTCAGTTACATTTCTGAGCACCTGCCAAATGCCAGGGATAACGCTGGGTGCTGTGCTGTCAACGACAAAGAAGATACGGTCCTACCCCTAAAAAGCGACGGTGGGAGGCATGTGAACAGGTCGTCACTGTCCATAGGATCGAACTGCGACTGCCTTCCAGCACGCATGCTTCTGGAGAATAGAGGAGAGGAACTCGCTTCTGCTTGGAGGAACAGGAGCAGGGAACACTGGAGGCTCCAAGTAAAGAATGAGTAGGTGCGTCCCAGGCAGGAAAGGGATGGGAGGGGAATGGCAATGTGAAGGGAGCAATTGCAAAGGCTGAAGTCCAGATGAGGTCAAATGTGCTTGGGGAGAGGCAAGGGTGTGTGTGTGTGTGTGTGTGTGTGTGTGTGTGTGTGTGTGTGTGTGTGATGGTTAACATAAGAAAAGAAGTTTAAGAAATAAGAAGCCTCTAGATTGTGACGGGCTTTTTCTTCCATGCTAAGGACTGTGGTCTACGAAGAATGCAGGGTGCTGAGGTGGGGGTTGTGGATGTGGTCAGGGGTATAGGAAGCTGGCCAAAGGATAAGCTGTGATGATTTTATAATGACTCAGGAAAGAGAGCCCCTAAACTATGACAATGGCAGTCAGCACCTCACCCTAAAAGAATGTGGGAAGACAATGTATGGACCGAGGCATTGGAGAAATTTGATTGGAAAGATTAGCTGAAGAACAGCTGACTCCGAGCAACGCAGAAAGAGGAAGCTCGAGGCAGGCATGGTGAGTCACATCATGGGACAATGAGGTCTGAGCCTTGGAGGAGGAAGAGGAAGAGGAGTAATGAGAAAACCACAGGTGGGACCAGTAATCACAAAGGGAAACAGCAAAGCATTTGTAAGCTCTGGAATCCTACCCAGTGAGGCTGCTTTGGGGAATAGTATTTAGGGAACACTGGTAAGTAGCCAAACCCAGAATCAGCCATTTCAAAACCAGATGGACGGACAGGCTCCTTCAGGAAAGTTCTGCTGGGAAGGCACAGGACAGATGCCATGTGCCCTCTTCATCCTCACTGCCCAGCCAGCAGGGCAAGCCACGATACTTGAGTTCCTCCACCCCATCTTTCCTACAAATGAACACTGGTGTATTGACTTTTATCTACATCCAATACAAAACCAAAAGCCACAGTATAATTTTTTGGTTTTTTTTTTTTTTTTTGAGACACACTCGCTCTGTCACCCAGGCTGGAGTGCAGTGGCACTATCACGGCTCACTGCAACCTCTGCCTTCTGGGCTCAAGCAATCCTCCCACCTCAGTCTCCCAAGTAGCCGGGACTACTGGTGCATGCCACCACACCTGGCTAATTTTTGTATTTTTTGTAGAGACGGGGTTTTGCCTTGTTGGCCAGGCTGGTCTCGAACTTCTGTCCTCAAGTGATCCTCTCGCCTCGGTCTCCCAAAGTGCTGGGATTACAGGCATAAGCCACTGCACCCAGCCAGTTTATGGAATTTTTTAGTTGAGTTTTGTCAGTTCTCTAGGAGCGTGGTCAGTTTCATTGGCAAGAAGCAAAGGAGGATCTAGCTGCTTAAGAAACAAAGCTCTGCCAGGTGCGTTGGCTCACGGCTGTAATCCTAGCACTTTGGGAGGCTGAGGCGGGTGGATTACCTGAGGTCAGGAGTTCAAGACCAGCCTGGCCAACATGCTGAAACCCCGTCTCTACTAAAAATACAAAAAAATTAGCTGGGTGTAGTGGTGCGTGGCTGTAATCCCAGCTACTCGGGAGGCTAAGGCAGGATAACTTCTTGAACCTGGGAGGCGGAGGTTGTGGTGAGTTGACATTGCACCACTGCACTCCAGCCTGGGTGACAGGGTGAGACTTTGTCTCAAAAAACAAACAAACAAAAAAAACCAAGAAACAAAGCACTGTGTTTTTGCATACTATTCTCGTATTCTCTGAGTATTTGGATATCTTTCCCAGTTGGAAGTTGCAGATCTCTGCATGGCACAAAATCTCTATCGACTAATTTACAACTTTAGGAACAGGAAGGCAAATGAACTAAATTGTTGTGGATGACAAAAGCCATATTTTCCACAATAAAGTAAGGAAGGAACCACAAACAAATACCAGCTTATAATTTCTCCATCAAATGACAGACACACTCCGCCCTGTCTAGGCAAAAGATGGCCATACGCTGTCCCTTAGGGCTCACTGAAAATATATCCTAGTCTTGGATGCAGATATAATGTTCTATAAATACTCTCCCTGTTTGCATATTTGCCTAATGTTTTTCTTCTGCTGCCTGTGTGTGCCTGTTTAATCAGTCTCCAGAAGACAGATGATCTCTCGTTCTGACTTTATTTAACATTTAGAAGGTTATTAAGTGCTTAAAATTTTTTCGATGAACATTATGCAAATTGACACGTTGACTTCTCGAACTACAAGGAAACTATCCCAATATTTTCACGGTGGTTGAGTGGTTGATGCAATGGAAAAGAAACACACACACACACACACTCACACACACGCTCACACACACTCTCACACACTCTCACACACACACTCACACACTCACACACACACACACACACTCACACACACACTCACACACACACACACACACACACACACACACACTCCCTAAAAGGCATCCTGTATATTCAGGATCTAGGCTTATTTCTGCCATTAACTTGTTGCATTAATGACTTGGGTGGAATATAATAAATAAAAATAGGAGTTGAAAATCTTCCTAATTAATGGCAATAAATGGGAAGTAGACAAAGAACATTATGGGGTGATTACAGTGTTGCCTTTTTTGTTCAGAAAAGGATGCAATTGCCATTCATTGAGATAATCTTGGTAATTCTTACATCTTTTCTAGAATTTTCAAGATAAAAGCTTTTTCTGATCTTTTTTGAAAATTAAAGAATTTCAGAAATTCTTAGAAATTGGTAATATAATCCACTGGGTCAAAGGCAAAGTCATCTGTCTTTTCTTCCTTCCCTTCCCCCCACCGACCTTCTCTACCTTAATGTTCCAGGACTCGCTGGAGACCCAGATGTAGTAGAGCCCTGGGCTCTCTCATCTGCTCCCAGTGATAGACCCTAATTCCTTTTCACAGCTAGAAGACTCTATTACATCCTGCCACCTGCCATCTTCACAAATCTTCCCTGTTCCCAACAAGGTAAGAATGGCTAGGGTCATGACTTTATCTGCAGAACCCTTTCTGGAAGGCTAGGTGACACTTGTGAAATATCAGAGCTAACATTTGTCCACGTATACTACTTTCTGTCTATAAAATTGATTTCAGTATTATAAGTGAGGATGCACCATTTATTTCAGTAGCACCTCCACTTCTACAGCCAGCTGGCTTCTTCTACCTCGATGGGATCATATCCCCCCAAAGTTAGCATCGTTGAGCCTTCCAGTAATATAAGTAAACAAGGTTGGAGAGGGGGAAATGCAAAGACAAAATCTCTTATTCTAGAGAAGTCTCCTTGCCTAATGCAGTAGCTCATGCCTGTAATCCCAGGGCTTGGGGAGGCCAAGGCAGGAGGATCGTTTGAGGCCAGGAATTCGAGACCAGCCTGGGAAACATAGCAAGATCCCATCTCTCCAGAAAAAAGAGTCTCCCATACTTTTTGAGAGTTAGGCGTTTCACAGATATTAACTAATTTGCTCCTCCGAATGTCACTTATAAATAAAGCAACCAAGGCTCAGAGAGACTCAGTAATTCACCCAAGGCCACATAAGCAGTGGCAGAGCTGGTTAGATGACCAAACCCAGGGCAAGATGGCGCCATCCTCCCCTCTCTGTTTGCCATGCCAGGTTGCACCACACAGATCCACATCAGGAGGCAGGGACACCAGCCTTGGCGCAGCAGCTGAGACCAGGGCGAGGTCCCTCAATGCCTGTAAGCTCTTCCTCATTTGCAAAAATGATCTAGATACCCCCTTTCATTCCTAAAGCACCATCTCTCTAAAATGTTTGATTGGCTGGATAACCCCCAGATCACATATGCACGTGGTTTGTAGACTGCACCAGGCATTGACTGTGATGGGCAGCCCTGCAGCCGTGGCTGCAGCCCTTGCTAACAGTAGCCCTTGTTACAACTGCCTTCTGTACATGGTTCTCCCCTCCTGCCAAGACCTGCAGGCTACATCTGTGCTACTGGTCACTCTGCAGTTCTTCTGTTACAAAACACTCAAGCAGCCCAATAAAAGGGGATTGAGAAGGCCGAACACTGCTCCCCATTGTGCTCCATCAGTGTCTACTTCATGTCCTCATCACCCTCCCATCTCTCCTTCTCTCTCTCTCTCTCTCTGGGCAACAGAGAAATAAATATCAGATACTTAGCAGGGCTGGCCAGTGGGAGTCGGGAGATGGGCAAGCCAGCGCTAGACTCTCCGGCTATTGGTAGGTATGTCGTCTAGCTCTGGAGGACCCACACTGTCTGGCTTCCTAGTTTGGGTTTTATCACATCTATATACTTCTTCCCAGGCATGTGGCGAGAGCGTAATGGTACATTTTCTGGTTATGAATGGCACAGCCTGGCAACTCGCCGATTATTATTTCCATTCCCTGTGATGCATTATCAATCTAATTCCCCATTACCTGCCGTTTTTGTTTTTTTTCCCATGCGTTCCCCATACAGCAAGGACAAAGAAAGGCAAAAACCCTGCAAAGAAGGCTGCATCACCAATGAACAGGCTAATCCCACAGGAAATTGTGGAGTGGTAGCTTCAAGTGTGCAGGGAGAGGTTTTGGCTAATTTGAAGTGCAAAATATCATTAAAAGGTTTGGGATTCTGCATTAGGACCAGGACTCCGGACTTTAAGGTTGGTAATGCATTACTAACTGAGGAAGAGGGGCCATACCACAGCACAGACTAAGAAAAGTTTTGACACAGGTGGGCCTAACAAGCGACACTGTGCTTTAGACCACTGGGGTTTTCCAGATTTCTTTCTTTTTTTTCCTTTATTTTTATTTTTTTAGAGACAGGTTCTCCCTCTGTTGCCCAGGCTGGAGCGCAATGGTGCAATCATAGCTCACTGTAACCTCCAACTCCTGAACTCAAACAATCCTCCCATTTTAGCCTCCTGGAGCAGCTGGGAACACAGGCACACGCCACCATGCTTGGCTGGTTTTTCAGGTTTCTGAAGTCTAAACAGATCCATGTTGGAGTGCGGTCTGCTACACTCACTCAGCGATTTGCTTATACAACCAGGGTCCGGGGAGTGCTCAACATGAGCAGCGAGTTAATGTAGTGAGTGTATGCAAGCAAAACATACGCAGTAGCCACGGATTGGCAAATAATTGCTAAGAAGGCAGGAGCAAAAAGGAACATGTGAATGTAAGTCAGAGTTTGGGGCAAAGGGTATGGATGTACCAATGCTCCTGACCACAGACAACACGTTTCTTCTTGTATTGCATCATTGAATGGCTGGAGCTCTACCTTTAAAACAAAAAGCCAGAAAACATCACACAGTGTAGAGATCGCCCTTCCTAACAAGCTAGAGCCTACAAGGAACTTCTCTGAATTAGAATTAATTATGCTGGTACATCTGTAGAGAGGTTTTGATTTGACTCAAACTGAGACTACCACTCATTTCTTCTTGATTATTTGGTAGTAATAAGGCCCCTGAACTGAACCGGATCCCCCATAGTCCTCTATTACTTTCCAACAACTGTGACTTTTATTCTTAGCAGTGACTTCCATCTTCAAGTGGAAGATGAACAATGTTTCTCTTTGGGAGGAAAATGCCCAATTTCCACTGATACAGTTAAGAACTGAGGCCGGGGGCGGTGGCTCACGCCTGTAATCCCAGCACTTTGGGAGGCTGAGGTGGGCGGATCACATGGTGAGGAGATCGAGACCATACTGGCCAACATGGTGAAACCCCGTCTCTACTAAAAATACAAAAATTAGCTGGGCGTAGTGGCACGTGCCTGTATTCCCAGCTACTTGGGAGGCTGAGGCAGGGTGGCAGAGGTTGCCGTGAGCCGAGATTGCACCACTGCACTCCAGCCTGGTGACAGAGCAAGACTCCATCTGAAAACAAAACAAAACCAAAACAAAAAACAAACATAACTGAACGCACACACACACTCATTAGCCCCCCAAATAAGCATTAGTGCAATGTACTAAACAGTAGCACCAGCTCTGACCATCTTCTGTAAACGTAAGAGAGGAACAGTGATAGGGATTTTTAAAATAATGCCACTGGTGGTAGAGCTGGTTACTTCCAATGTAAGGGTGTGTCTAAATTATTCCTTATAAGAGAAGGATGTGCTGATTCCATGAGACAACGGAAAGGGTGGCAGCTGATGGATTTAGGGAACTAAAATGAAACTGCTGTGAAGAGAATTTTTGATAAGCTGGATTTATGCTGATTCAGAAAACTTTTTGCAGAAGAGAGCATTGAAACCGTCTGGCCTTTGTGTGCAATCGTGACTCCAAAGCCCAAAGTTCCAAGAGCTATTGTACCAACTCTGGAGATGAAATTTTCTGGGAAAAACAACAACTAAAAATGGAAAATACTACTGATGTACTTCAGTCTGATTATGGCTGGAATGAACACCTCAAGATAAAATCCAGCACGCCCTTCCCCACAAGATCAGATTTTTTAGCAGCCACTTTTCCAAGATTCTCTGACTCTGATTTTGCTATTGGAGGAAAAACCCAAATATCTACATACCCTCCACAATTGATGCAATGATCCCTTTTCTTCCTTTTCTTACATCAATGCCTAACTTTTCAGAGACATCCAACATCTTTTTGTTGTTGTTCCTTTCATGACATTTCCAGAGAGAAACGGACAGCGCAGAATCAGAAATGGGTAAGGTGGGGTGAACCGATAAAAATGCAGTGTCCTGGGGAGGTCATGAGGGCACATGGGCCTGAGTTACTTGCTGATTCTATTAAGGTAAGAGAACTCCTGTTTTAGCTCAAGGGGAATATAGTTTTTAGGGTTTAGACTGAGGAATCATTAGAAGATCATTACCCTATTGCTTTCTTATGAGGTCCCAGAAATTGCTTCTAAGATGCTGAGATTTTGCACAACAAATAAACCAAAAAAGAGAAATTCTGCCACAAATGTTATCATATCAGGTGCTACCCCAAAAATAAGACATATGAATTGAAGTTACTCCTGACACTGGACTCAGACATTCTAATACTCTGTGGAGAGTAGTTTAAAAGAACTTCAAAAGCTGGTTAACTGTTAGCATGTCTATTTCTCATTTTGACATATTGAACTAGGAATTCTTCAAAAGTTATACTGTTCCTTTTCTTAAAATATGCAAAAATATCTAAGAACAAAGCTTTAGATTGTAAATTGCTCCATTATACTTTCATTCAGTATGATGCGTCAGGCTAAACGCAAGTCTTATGAGGGGTAAGTATATGGCTTGCTGGACACGTGAATTGAACTACAAGCATGCTGCACGCACGTGCGGATGCAAACACACACGCACCAGCATAAACAATGTAAACACAAGTGGTATATTCATGCAGTAAAGGCAGTAACGATCTTTGATGGTAGTCTCACCCAACACTTACTTAAAGACAAAGGTAGCCTGGCAAGTCCCCTCAATATGAGATCTCCTGAACCTTCCATATCCCTTTCTTTCACATCACAAACCAATCTCACTTTTTGCATCCACTCCTTAAGGTTGACTCAAGAGCTCTTTCCTTGGCAACTCTTGCATATCTGCTATTCCACAGAGCTCTCTCCCCAAGTTCCAGAACCAAGCAAGGAGTCACTGGATGTCTTTCCCTTTGACCTCAGGCTATAACTTCGCTGTGACAATAACATCGAGAGCTGTGCACATCTGGGATGCTGTTCTCATGGATTATGAAATCAGCAACTCACTGAACCTCAAGGGGTCTCAGTTTCCCCAATGACGAGATCATGCTAATGGCACCAGCCACCTGCCAGGTTATCAGGGGACTTGATAACAATGTCTGCAAATTACAAAGAGAACCCGTGCCATAAATAACAAGTCTTATTAATAAAATTAGTTCAAGACAAGTGCCAAAAACAATATAGCAATAGCAGCGGCAGATCACACTTGGTCAGAACAAAAGAGGGTGGAGAGATTTTCTGATCCTTATTCCTACTAAAACAATTCCCCTTTAATGAAAGAATAAGAATTTAATTTTTTCTCCCTAAAACATTACTTCTACCCACACAACTTCATACACCAGTCATTACTTCTTTCTAACTTATCTGGAGGCAACATTGTATTCACTGGCTGGACAATATAGCGTTGATTTCAAAGCATGTCCAAATATTGCCTCCAATTAAATTAATTGCAGCTATTTAACTTCTCAGGACCAAGTGGATTCAAACCTATTTGTCACACGACCCTCATTCCTGCTGTGCCCTAAATAAACCCAAACTTCCTTTGCAACAGAATGGATCTAACAGAAGACAGTGTACAAACTGGATCATCTCCTAACCTTCTAGGTTGCAAGAGACAAGTAACACTTTGAGAACCAAACCAGATTTCTGTTGATTTGAGGCTTTGGTCTTCTGGCCCTGTCCAAGTCCAAGTCACACTCAAACATAAATGGGGCTTAATGCTACGAATGGGCTTGATACAATTTAAAGACCAAAAACAAAACAATGAAATGTGTCTTCCTCTCCCTGACTGCTGCCCCCAATGCAAAAGCACTTTGCTGCACATTTGAAGGACGGCATACCCAGCTAAGTTTCATGAAGTCTAAGGGACAGGTTACTGTATCCAGTTCCTAAGGTACTTCCCCAGGGTCAGCAGTGGCTTCCCAGGATGAAGTCAGCAGTTTGTCCCGGGCTCTCTGAGCGGTGCTTTCCCACAGATCAGTGATGCTGTTGGAAAAGGACGACTTACGGATGCAGAGGTGGAAGGGGGGTACCAGCAGCTGAACCCTCAATCAGGTCCAGGCAGATGTATTCCCGATAGAACAGGCTGTCACCACTGACCAGCTCAGACTTAGAAATGTGCCTGTCTAGGTTTTCAGAGCAACCCCTTTCATCACTATCTGTGAGGAGGATTCGAACTGAAAGAAGCCAGAAACAGCAGTAGCAGCGTCTCCACTGGGATGCTCCATTCATAGGGGAGCCAGAGCCGCATCCATTCATGGTGGGGTCAGGGAGTCCTTTGCGGGCATTGGTTCTCGTTTCTCAGCAAGCTGCACTTCCCGGGGGGCTGGCATGGCTGCATCGTTCAGAATGAGGATGTCTATTAAGAAGCCGTCGCCAGAGCTATTATTAGCACAGCCATCCCTTGGAAATTTCGCAGAATACGCCTGAATGTACGAACAGTTACTCTGCTAACAGGGTACTGGAGAAAAAGGCACCAAGTCGCTCGTTACGCACAGGCAGCCCACGCAGCTTTCTCGGTGCAGCACCGGGAATCTTTTCTGAATTCAACGTGCACCAACATTTGAGCAGCTGCCTCCAATATAGAAGCACTGCATTTAGCCAATTTTAAATGAGCACGTACTAAAGGGGGTTCCCTTCTGTTCTCCTCCCCTTCCGAGCGTCCGTTTTCTCTGCATCAAACTTGCTGCAGCCATTTGGAACGTAAAAAGCAGTCCATCTTAGCAGCCCCGGGCACCGGCGATCGGCTGCTGGCCCCCGCCACCCTTGTCTGAAACGCCCTGTCCTGCACCCAAAGGAAAGGGCTCCCCTGGCACTCTCAGAAAATGGTTTTAAAAAAAGCCTACACAGCTCTGCCTAAAGCCATGTCCTTTCCTATCTCCCCGGGTAGATTCAGACAGCGTGGGACTGAGGTGCCCAAGGAAAGTAGGTGTGTGTGTGCCGAGGGGAGGGTTGCAGAAGAAAGCACAGTATGTGCCCCACGTGGGATTTGCATTTAAAAACTGTAACATACGCGAAATAAACGACTCCAGGCCCCCAGTAAAGAAGCAGCGGCGCGTCCCTTTTCCCCGGCCCAGCGTGAAAACACGGAAGGCGAAGGGCTGCCGTCAGTCGCCTCCCTGCCACCGCGACCGGGAAACAAAGACACATTACCTTTTATTTTTTGCGCTTCCAAGGGATCCGAGGAACTTCTGGCTGCAAGCGGCTGGTACCCCGGAACGGGCGTCCCATTCGCCCGGGCGAAGGCCCTTGGCCTACTAGGCGGCCTTGGCGCCCGCAGCTGGCGAGCCCCCGCCCCGTCCCCGCCGCCGCCCCCGCCGCGGGCCCTCGGCGTCAGCCCATAGCCCGCTCGCGCCTCTCGCGCCGAGCCTGGCCCGGCGCCAGTGAGCCCCGCCGCCGGCCCGCCCCTCGCCCGCGCCCGGCCCGCCGCATGGTGCGCCCAGCGCGCCCCGAGCCAGTCCCCGGCGCGCTGCTAGGTCGGGTGCTAGGCGGCCACCGCGCGCCACCGCCGCCGCCACCGCCCGCCGCCCGATCCTGGACAACAATGCGCGCCCCCGCCCCCCCAGAAAGCCAGGGACGCCCCCAGTCGCCGCCAGAGCTGGCTCGGCTTCCCAGCCCCTCTCCGTGGCACCCGCAGGCGAGACAAAGTTCGCTCCCGGTGAGGCTGCGCGCGTCCAAAGCGTGCGGGATGCCCAGCACGGAGGTCCCCAAGCGGGGGACCCCTGGCTCCCCCACAAAACCCACCCAAAGCCACCGCTCGAGGCCCTCTCCTACCCTGAGAGCCCGGAGACAGCAGCTCCCTTGGCTGAAGGCACAGCTCTTACCCCTCGATCTAGTCCAATTGTATTGAATTTTAATCTCCCCTCAACTCTTCAATGGAAGTTGCTGCAGGATAACCGAGGCATGTGGCTATTGTCAAGGCTTCGCGACAATGACTGGGAGAGGGAGACTTCCATTGCGAGAGACCCGGGGTAGGAAAACGGGCTGACACGTTGTCTTTCCAAAAAAGAGAAACAAACTCTGGGAAGATTCCCCACCAAGAACAATAACTCAATTCACAGGGTATGTCTAAATGTTTATTGCTTGAGGAGCTCAATTTGCTCTTAGACACATTTTTTTTCATGAATTGTCAAAACACGGTGATAAAATAAAAGGGGATGCTGGCAAGAGCCTCCACTTAGCAAAAGCCGACTTGTTTCTGGGTAAAGTCTTTCTCTAGAATTTCCAACCTGCACCCATCCACTCTTCAGGGGAGAGACTGGTTTTCCTCCCACCATGGTTGATCTAGTACTTGGTAGATCTAGAAACATCATTTTCCGGAGACCGGTAGGCTCTGAGGACTTACAAACTTCGTAATAAAAAGAAATCACTCACATCCTGTCTTCCAACTGACTGAAAATTATACCTTTTTCCAGTCACAGGTCCTGTGTTGTTTTCTAAACAACACTGGTAAAAATTTTCAACAGTTCAAAAGGCCTCACCATCAATAGAAAGGGAATTGGGCATACAGTTAGCATTGGAGAAAAAAGTTGAACGCTGGTGTTAAGGACTACCTGTTTTGTGTTTGTTTGTTTGTTTGTTATAGAGACAGAGTTTCACTCTGTCACCCAGGCTGGAGTGTGATGGTGTGATCACGGCTCACTGTAACCTCCCCGTCCTGGGCTCAAGTGATCTTCCTGCCTCAGCCTCCTAAGTAACTGGGACTACAGGCACACCCCACCACACGCTGCTAATTTTTGTATTTTTTGTAGAGACGGGATCTTGTCATGTTGCCCAGGCTGGTCTTAACTACCTGTGTTATTTCAAGCTGACTGGAGACTTGATGATCTGAAGCCAGGTTCGAATGGGATTCTCAGGTACCTCTCTAAAGTCTGTGAGGCGTATTCCAATGCAAAACCCCATTTTTTGATAATGCAATTGGAGCCCATCTCCTTGTGTTCTGAGGTCCTCAGAGGGCATATTGTTTCTTTGCACGCAGACTAGTTCTAGTCCTGATTTGTTTTGACTGCAACACCTAGTAATGGACAATGAGGAAATGTTCAGACCTACAACATTTTTTTTTCTTTTTTTGAGACAGAGTCTGTCTCTGTTACTCAGGCTATAGTGCAGTGGCACAATCTCGGCTCACTGCAGCCTCCCCTCCTGGGTTCAAGCGATTCTTCTGCCTTAGCCTCCCGAGTAGCTGGGATTACAGGCACCCACCACCATGCCCGGCTAATTTTTTAGTAGAGGCGGGGTTTTGCCATGTTGGCCAGGCTGGTCTTGAACTCCTGACCTCAGGTGATCCACCCACCTTGGCCACAGTGTTGGGATTACAGGCGTGAGCCACCGCACCCAGCTCAGACATACATTTCTCTTCCAATATTTTGTTTCCATCCTTAGAGGAGTTGTTGAATTTTATCCACATCTACACCTCCTGCTTTCCGCCTTGGCCACTGTCATATTCTGTATGTCCTAAACTGAACTTGCCTCACTGGCCAATCCTGCCTCCAGGCTCCCTCTCCTAGTAAACAGCATGCTCCCTCCTCCTCCCCAAAGCCAGAAACAGGGATAGAGAGCTCATTTCCCTCCCTCCTTTCTCTCATTCCTCACCTGATCATGGAGCCTGTCCTCATAACTACCTCATGAAAAGTCATGAGGGCAGCCCCTTATCCCAACAGTGCCTGAAGCTGAGTGAGCAACTGCTGGGCGCCAGGCATACTCAGGCCACATCATCTTTCACCAGGATGTCTCCAGCAGCCCTGTGAATGGGTGCTGATCTTATCTCTCTCAGATGCATTCTCCACTCCAGCTGGAGCGATTCTCCTAAATCCCAGATCTGATCCCGTAACTTTCGCTAAAAACCTGTTCAGGGCTTCCCTGGCTTTGGGGACAAAAAGTCCATATTCCTTCTGATGGCTATAAGGACCCCCTGGTCATCCAGTCTTATCTTTTGCCACCCAGCCCCACCAGAAATCGTGTCACCCCCTACCCTCCAGCTACAGAACCCTCTTCCAGGGCTCCGTATGTTCCAGGTGGTCACGCATCCGCGGATCACCCAGTAGCCCAGGCTGGAGAAAGAGCTCAGCTCACATCACTGCTCTGCTTAAAGACTGCGGGTGGCTTCTCACTGCTCCTGCCACATCCTCTTTGTCTTCATCACATATTATTCACATTTCCTGCTTCCTCTCCCTGGAAGGCCAGGCCCTGCTCCCTACCCCACTCTTTGGGTAGCTGGCTCCTGGTCGTCTTTCAGGTTCTTACTCAAATGCTGCCTCTTAGATAACCTTCGGTGACCAGCACATGGGGAATGTTTTCCCCCAGGTACTTAATATATCACCATCCTGTTTATTTTTTTCTTAACACTTAGCCACCATCAGGATTCACAGACCTGTGTGAAGGGCACAGACTGAAGCCATTCTGCCTGGGCTTGAATCTTGCCTGGCCACCCACTAGCTGTGCAAGCTTAGGCAAGTTTCTTAACCTCTCTGTGCCTCAGTTGAGAACACTCATCTATGAAATGGGGACAATAATATTGCCTACCTTGTAGGGCTGTTATGAGGATTAAACGAGTTAATATATGTAAAGCACTTAGAACAGGGTCTGGCTGAATAAGCATAAACCTTTTGGGGCTTTTTAAAAAAGTTGTATTTAAGTTCAGGGGTACACGTGCAGGTTTGTTGCATAGGTAAACTAGCGTCATGGAGGTTTGTTGTACAAATTATTTTGTCACTGAGGTATTAAGCCTATTACCCATTAGTTATTTTTCCATATCTTCCCCCTCCTCTCACCCTCTATCCTGTGATAAGCCCCATTGTGTGTTGTTCCCCTCTATGTGTCCATGTGTTCTCATCGTTTAGCTCCCATTTATAAATGAGAACATGCAGAATTTGGTTTCTTCCTATGTTAGTTTGCTAAGGATAATGGCCTACAGCTCCATCCATGTCCCTGCAAAGGATATGATCTCATTCTTTTTTTATGGCTGCATAGTATTCCATGGTGTGTATGTGCCATGTTTTCACTGTATCCCCACAACCAGAACTAGTACCTGGCACAAGATCTCTTTACCCCTCCCAAAACCTTTTGTGCTTGGGGGCCTGGACTGGGAACAAATAAGAATTGAAGGAAGAAAAGCTGTATTCGAAGAATTTGAAATACTAACAGAAATAGGTCGTGATGACTAAAACACCAAAAGCAATTGCAACAAAATTGACAAATGGGATCTAATCCAACTAAAGAGCTTCTGCACAGCAAAAGAAACTATCATCAGAGTGAACAGACAACCTACAGAATGGGAGAAAATTTTTGCAATCTACCCATCTGACAAAGGTCCAATATCCAGAATCTACAAGGAACTTAAACAAATTTACAAGAAAAAAACAAACAAGCCCATCAGAAAGTGGGCAAAAGATATGAACAGACACTTCTCAAAAGAAGACATTTATGCAGCCAACAAACATATGAAAAAAATCTCGTCATCACTGGTCATCAGAGAAATGCAAATCAAAACCACAATGAGATGCCATCTCATGCCAGTTAGCATGGCGATTATTAAAAAGTCAGGAAACAACAGGTGCTGGCGAGGCTGTGGTGAAACAGGAATGCTTTTACGCTGTTGGTGGGAGTGTAAATTAGTTCAACCATTGTGGAAGACAGTGTGGCAATTCCTCAAGGATCTAGAACCAAAAATCCCATTTGACCCAGCAATCCCATTACTTGGTATATACCCAAAGGATTATAAATCATTCTACTATAAAGACACATGCACATATATGTTTATTGCAGCACTATTTACAATAGCAAAGACTTAGAACCAACCCAAATGCTAATCAATGATAGACTGGATAAAGAAAATGTGGCACATATACACCATGGAATACTATGCAGCTGTAAAAAAGAATGAGTTCATATCCTTTGCAGAGACATGGATGAAGCTGGAAGCCATCATTCTCAGCAAACTAACACAGGAACAGAAAAACAAACACCGCATGTTCTCACTCATAAGTGGGAGTTTAATAATGAGAACACATGGACACAGGGAGGGGAACATCACACACCAGGGCCTGTCAGGGTCTGAGGGGCAAGGGGAGGGAAAGCATTAGGACAGATACCTAATGCATGTGGGGCTTAAAACCTAGATCATGGGTTAATAGGTTCAGCAAATCACCATGGCACAGTATACCTATGTAACAAACCTGCAAGTTCTGCACATGTGTCCCAGAACTTGAAGTTAAAAAAAAAAGAAAGAAAAGAAATAGGTCATGGTAAAACTTGATGAATAAAATAAAATTGAAACTTAAGTTACCTGGAAATGAAAACATAAAAAGAAATAGATTTCCTGTTTCACCAGTGGTTATCCTTGGAATTGACAGATAAAAAGCTTTGCCAGTCAAAACTCCACAATGGTCTGTTCCCCGAAGAGCAGCCGATTCTACCACTGAGAATTCAGTCAGCTACTTGCAAAGGTTTAATCCGTTTATGCGTGAGGTTGCAAATTTTTGAATTTTTGCATGAAATTCATATATATTACCTAGAAAAATTCAAGGAACAAGAATTTGAAGAGATAAAATTTTTATTATGCCCCATTGTTCAGTTAAGTGGCATTCCAAAAATGGAACACTAGGCGTAAGTGGCTATGAATCAAAGAATATTTTGCAAAGTGCTGCTTCGCTGACCAGCCCTAACATGTAGTTGTGATTAAATAATTTAGAGTGCTTCCATTTTCAGCTTGAGTTTAATACTTTTCGAGACTCTTTCTGCAAAGAGAAACATGGCAGCCGGGTTTATGGGCCTTTGCCTTGTGTTTTGCTGTCCTTGCTGGAGAAGAAAGAAGCAGCAGAAATACTTTTCTTTTTGTTATTTCAGTGGGTCAGCAGGATTTGGAGAGCTGAATACCTGGGGTAACCCTTGCTTCTCTTACACAGACTGAAGGAGCTTTACTTTGGAAAGAGCTGAACTCTTAAAGAGAGGAGAGGTGCTCTGAGGTTTGGAAATGGGGGAGGTAGGAAGGGATGGAGAAGGGTGATAGCACCCCCAAAAGAAGGAAGAGAGAACATCTGTACATGATGGGCAGATGACACGAGACCCTATGCCTGCTGAGTGCCTCAAGAGTGGGCAGGCAACCTGATGGGCCAGTGCATGGCCTGTGAGTTGGGAGCTAAATTCTAAGATATGTGTCTTAGAATTAAACATTATAGGCCTTAGATTATAGGTACAGTGGCTCAAGCCTGTAATCCCAGCACTTTGGGATGCCAAGCAGGGTGGATCACCTGAGGCCAGGAGTTCAAGACCAGCCTGGTCAACATGGTGAAACCCCGTCTCTGCTAAAAATACAAAAAATTAGCCGGGTGTGGTTGCAGCTGCCTGTGATCCCAGCTACTCAGAAGGCTGAGGCAGGAGAATTGCTTGAACCTGGGAGGCGGAGGCTGCAGTGAGCTGAGATCCGTCATTGCACTCCAGCCTGGGTGACAGACAGAGACTCCGACTCAAAAAAAAAAAAAAAAAAAGCTAAGATATGTGTCTTAGGCACAGCAAAGGATCCTGGAGTTCAGTTAAGAGGGTTGGAGTCTGGCCTCAAAATGAACGGCCAGTCCTTTTGCCCCAAGCACCTTAGTGGCAACTCTATTAGATTGATGACAAGAGGCTGGGTGCGGTGGCTCATGCCTGTAATCCCAGCACTTTGGGAGGCCAAGGTGGACGGATCACCTGAGGTCAGGAGTTTGAGACCAGCCTGGATAACATAGTGAAAGCCAGTCTCTACTAAAAATATAAAAGTCAGCTGGGTGTGGTGGGGCGTGCCTGTAGTCCCAGCTACTTGGGAGGTGGAGAATTACTTGAACCCAGGAGGTGGAGGTTGCAGTGAGCTGAGATTGTGCCACTGTACTCCAGTCTGGGTGACAGAGAGAGACTCCATCTCAAAAAAATAAAAAAATAAAAAATTGATAACGAGACCACTTCCCTGTTTAGAGGTCCAAGGTGGCCTGAGAGAGAGGGAAGAGGATGCAAATTCTTGCCATCCCAATGAATGAGGATGTAGTCAAATTTAATTGGGTTTAGAGAAATAAATTAATGTGATTTTGTGTGTATGCCCAAAGTGATGGAGCAAAAATTCTGTCTTCTCCACTAATAACAAGTGCCAGGTTCTTAACTCTAGGATTTGAGTCACAGCTTCTCTGACCAGCTTGGAGCATACATGGGACAATTAAGAGATGATGGCTTAGCTCTGATCTTTGCTAGGGTCTCACTATTGGTGGAGAAAGATCTCTCCCACTCAAGCCTTTGTGTACTTGCCGAGCTGAGGACAGGAGACAAGGTAAGGGAGGACCTGAAGCTGGGTTGTGTAATCCTGTCCTTGGAGCTAATACCATTGGGCAGTCTTGGACTCCTTTTCCAGGGCAACCTTGAATAAGCCTCTTATTGAAGCTGTTTCTCACCTTTAAAATGAGCCTGGGAGCTGGGCACAGTGGCTCACACCTGTAATTCCAGCTCTCTGGAGGGCCGAGGTGGGAGGATCACTTGAGGCTAGGAATTTGAGACCAGCCTGGGCTACATAGTGAGACCCCTGTCTCTACAAAAAAAATTTAAAAATTAGCTGGGTTTGCACCTGTAGTCTCAGCTACTTGGGAGGATGCGGTGGGAGGATCACTTGAGCTCAGAAGTTTGTGATCGCACCACTGCACTCCAGCCTGGGTGACAGAGCAAGACCCTGTCTATAAAATAAAATAAAATAAGCCTGATAATATCTATTGCCAGCCTTATGAAGACTAGGGGTTCAACACATATTGTTTCCAAAACCACACAACTGATAATAGTGAACAACTAACATTGTGGTGAGTATGTACTCTGTATTAGGCAGTGCTAGAGCTTTCCAAACTTTAATTTAATCATCATGGGATTCCTATGAGGTGGAAACTGTTCTGTCCCTTGGTGAGTATGTACTCTGTATTAGGCAGTGCTAGAGCTTTCCAAACTTTAATTTAATCATCATGGGATTCCTATGAGGTGGAAACTGTTCTGTCCCTTTTCTACAGACAAGGAACTTGGGATGTAAAAAGGTGAAGTGGGCCAGGTGTGGTGGCTCACACCTGTAATTCCAGCACTTTTTCTGGCAGGCTGAGGTGGGACGATAGCTTCAGTCCAGCAGTTTGAGGCTGCAGTGAGCTATGATCATACCACTGCATTCCAGCCTGGGTGCCAGAGCGAGACCCTGTCTCTATGACAAAAAAGAAAATGAAGCCACATGCCTGAGGGGACTCTGCTGATCAGATTTGAACCCAGAGTCGTCTTTTGGAGGCTTGAGCTCTTATTGTCCATGCTTGCCTGCCACAGGCTGTACATGTGAAATACACTGGCGGTCACAGGCAGCATGGCCACAGAATTACTTTGTATTCACTATTAACTGTGGATGGAGTCCCAGTTACAGCGGAAGACACCTGGGAATTGATAGGCTCCTGTGTCGTTCCATCAGTTCCTAACCTGCACCATATGGACATAGCTTTACATTCCATTTTCTGTGTTTATAGTGAATAACACTGGCAAGTTTTCCTTTCATATGTCAAGCAGGTGTTAAAAATGCAGAGAGATCCCTCTGGGGCAGGTTAAAGTGCTTGGCTGGTTTCAAGTGAATCCTATTATATTTTTATACCCAATCCTTTTTGCTTCCTACTCCCAGGTCAATTAGAGGCCAATTCTGAGCCACTTCAATCAAAAAGGGATAATTCCGTCTCCTGTCATGTGTGGCCTGCGATCAAGTACTTAAAACCAGGGTCCCCGGGGTGTATGAAGAAATTATCCAATGGCTGTGTTTTATTTTGTTATTTTTTCACCAACAGCTCTGTCATTTGAAATAACCAAGTTTTATAGTTTTGTTGTGTTCTCATTACATTAGATAGTTGGTTATGATTTTTCTTGGCTGGGAATCATGATTTAGACTGCAACTCATGGCAACAAAAACCCAGAGCAAGGCTTCCTGAAACACAGACAAGAATCAATCAAAACATCACAAGCTAATTAAAGTACCTTGGAGCCCCTGGGAGTACCTGTATTCCAGCGAGTACCACGGTATAAAATTGGTTAACATTCTAAGTATACTCAAGTACCTTCGGCTAGCTCTCTCCCTAAGGCTTTTTTGTTTATTTACTCAGAAATATGTATTAATAAAAATAGGGCCGGGCATGGTGGCTCATGCCTGTAATCCCGGGACTTTGGGAGGTCGAGGTGGGTGGATCAATTGAGGTCAGGAGTTTGAGACCAGCCTGGCCAACATGGTGAAACCCCATCTCTACTAAAAATACAAAAATTAGCCAGGCGTGTTGGCAGGTGCCTGTAATCCCAGCTACTCAGGAGGCTGAGGCAGGAGAATTACTTGAGCCTGGGAGGCAGAGGTTGCAGTGAGCCTAGATCACGCCACTGTACTCCAGCCTGGGCGACAGAGCGAGATTCCGTCTCTAAAATAAAATAAAATAAAATAAAATAAGAAGGTTAAAACTTAGTTGGCATTTACCAAGTGCCAGGTACTGATTATGTGATTTACGTATAATAACTCAGTCTTCGCAACAGCCCTCTGAGATGGGCACTATTGTTAACCCCATTTATAGGTGAGGGAATGGAAACACAGGGAGAGGTGTGATAAGCCATCTCAGATCCTACAGACGAGAAGTCGGCCACTGCCAGTTACCAAACTCAGGCAGTCTGATTCCAGAGCCGGTGCTCTCAACCCTAAGGTGTGTTCCTCAACCCTCAGGCATGGTCGAGTATTAGGTGGTATTGCGTCCCTTCTCGTGCCTAGCACAAATAATTATAATTTATTTATTGGCCCATTGCTTCACTGCAAAAAGCAGCTAAGGCAGAAATATTTGTAAAATTGAATGGAGGCTGGGTGTGGTGGCTCATGCCTGTAATCCCAGCACTTTGGGAGGCCAGGGCAGGTGGATCTGCCTTGAACCAGAGATCAGGAGTTTGAGACCAGCCTGGCCAACATGGTGAAACCTGTCTCTACAAAAAATACAAAAATTAGCTGGGCATGGTGGCGGGTGCCTATAATCCCAGCTACTCAGGAGGCTGAGGCAGCAGAATCTCTGAGCCCAGGAGGTGGAGGTTGCAGTGAGCTGAGATCATGCCACTGCACTCCAGCATGGGCAACAGAGCGAGACTTCATCTCAAAAAAAAAAAAAAAAAGAATGGAAAAGATTTTCAGCAAATATTCCTTTTCCTATTGTAACATCAATTATTGTGAAGGTTTATGTGCAAGTGACATCAATCTACCAATCTCTCAAGTGAGCAATAGGACTATATTGAAAGGATGGGCCAGAGCAGGAAGTAAGAGCCCCGGGACCTCCCAGCCCCAGGGAGAACAGGCGAGTGAGCTTCTCAGAGCGGGGACAGGGCAGGAAGCTGGCCCCCAGTGATGACTTGGGAGGCAATGATTTCTCCTGCCACCCCATAGAAGTCAGACCTACTCCAAATTATAATAGCAAATAATCTGTTAATAAATAATAATATGGTTCAGGCTATCAAATTTCTAGGATTCTGATTTCACTAAATAAGAAGATAGGCTATTTAATTTTTTGTATATTTGTTTGTTTTAGAGACAGGGTCTCACACTGTCATCCAGGCTGGAGTACAGTGGCGTGATCATAGCTCACTGTAACCTTGAACCCCTGAGCTCAAGTGATCCTCCTGTCTCAGCCTCCTGAGTAGCTGGGGCTACAGGCATGTACCACTATACCTGGCTAATTTTTATTTTTAAATTTTTTTGTAAAGATGGGGTCTTGCTATGTGGCCCAGGCTGGTCTTGAACTCAAGTGATCCTCATGCCTTGGCCTCCCAAAGTGTTGGGATTACAGGCATGAGCCAGTGTGCCAGCCTAGGCTTATTTGTTGAGATGGGATTGGGTACAAAAGGTTAACATTTAGAAAGATCTCTCTGCATGGAAAATAAAAAAGTTGGAGATATCTATACATGGAGGGCATTTAGACTTATGGAAATTGATGGTTAGGCAAAATACTGGAGAGAGAGAGAGAGAGAGAGAGAGAGAGAGAGAGTGACAGAGATGAGCCAACTGAGCCAACATGAGAATCCCCTGGAAGACCAGTCAAAATAGATTCCTGGGCTGGGCACAGTGGCTCACACCTGTAATCCCAGCACCTTGGGAGGCCGAGGCAGGTGGATCACTTGAGGTCAGGAGTTCAAGACCAGCCTGGCCAACATGGTGAAATCCCATCTATACTAAAACACAAAAAAATAGCTGGGTGTGGTGGCACACACTTGTAATCCCAGCTACTTGGGAGGCTGAGGCAGGAGGACTGCTTGAACCCGGGAGGTGGAGATTGCAGTGAGCCAAGATCACGCCACTGCACTCCAGCCTGGATGACAGAGTGAGATGCAGTCTCAAAAAAAAAAAAAAAAAACAACAACAAACAACAGATTCTTGAGTGTTACCCCCACTCCCATTTCCAACCCAGGTCTCTGATTCTTAGCTTGGGTTAGGGTGTAATAATTTACATTTTTAACAGATTCCAAAGATATTGATCCTGCTGATTGGAGCTTACACTCAGCACAATTTTCCTACCTCTTGGCTTTTACTGTGCTCCGGGCACCCTGTTGTCTTTACGCTTGTGCTAGCCCCAGGGCCTTTGCACTTCCATCTGCTTGGAAGGCCCTCCTCCAGATACCAGTAGGAATCAAGCTCTTACCTTTTCAGGTCCCTGCTCAGATGTACCCTTATTAGTGAGATCTTTTCTAACCACCTTTCTTAAAAATAGCAACTCCTCCCACCTGCCCACCTCCTGCTCCCCCCGTTCCTAATCCCTTTCCTAGTTTGTCTCCATTCTTTCTTTTGCCTTCTAACAGACTGTACCATTTATTTACTTAGCTGTTTGTTTTATTACCTGTCCTTCCCACGAGAGCAGGGATTTACGTCCATTTGGCTTTTTGCTAAATCTCCTGAGCCTAGAACAGTCTTTGGAACATACTAAACATTCAATAGATATTTGTTGAGGCCGTGCATGGTGGCTTATGCCTGTAATTCCAGCACTTTGGAAGGTGAAGGCAGGAGGATCACTCTAGGCCAGGAGTTTGAGACCAGCCTGGGCAACATAGCAAGACTCCAACTCTACAAAAAATGTTTTTAAATAAAAATTAGCCAGGTGTAGTGATGCACGCCTGTAGTCCCAGCTACTCAGGAGGCTGAGGCATGAGGATCACTTGAGGCCAAGAGTTTGAGACCAGCCTGGGCAACATAGCAAGACCCCATCTCTAAAAAAATAAAAATAAAAAAAAAATAGCCAGGGCGTGGTGGTGACATGTGCCTGTGGTCCCAGCTACCCTAGAGGCAGAAGTGGGAAGATGGTGTGAACCCAGGTGTTGGAGGCTGCAGTGAGATAGGACCATGCCACTACACTCCAGCCTGGGTGACAGCGACAGCTTGTCTCTTAAAAAAAAAAATTGTCTGATGAGTGAATAAAATGAATGAATGGACATTCTTGGATGTAGAATTGCAGTCTTAAGAACTTAATTCTGATGGAAATGCTTCCTAACCGATTGCCTCCCTATCTAAAATGAAATATAATCGTGTCGCTCCACTTCTGAAATATCTAAATATCTCTCACACCCCGAGTGAAGCTGAAGCTCCCTGGCATTTGTTCATCACCAGGCACTGGTGGGGGCTGGGACATGACAGTGAACAGATGCGGAAGTGGCCTTTGTCCCCTTTTGCCTACAGTCCAGTTGAAAATAGGGCCTGCCTGCCTGTCTGGCCTCACCAACCACTATTTCCTGCTGGCGTTTCGCCTCCCAGCCAAGGAGAACGCTCCTACAGGCCCCTGTGCTTCTTGCCTTCTTGCTTTCGCACGGCCGTACATCTGCGCGGAAAACCCTCCCGTCCTCCCTGACACCTGGTTGACTCCCACTCACTCTTCCAGCTCCGCTCAGACGCCTCATTCCCCGGGAAGCCTTCCCCGAGGTTCCCCTCTCCCATGCCCTAAATAACCCATGCGCATCTCTATGCTCAGCACGTTTTCATCACCACCTTTGCATATGTCTTTATACTGCTCTCCGTCAAGAATTCTTCAAAGACAGGCATCACGGCAGTGCTTTGTGTTTTAATAATTTTCTTGTATTCCAGATCCTCAAAATGTGTTCACCTGTACACGGTGTATGGTATTTAATTTCACTTTATCACTTTCTTTTAGCCAAGCATTGTGATCAGAACCCAATAGATTTTTATAGTTAAATCCATCCTGCTAATAAAAAGCAGGGGAGTCAGTGATGGTAGAAAGCAGCGTTTGTAATCCCAGCACTTTGGAAAGCCAAGGCAGGAGGATCACCTGAGGTCAGGAGTTTGAGACCAGCCTGGCCAACGTGGCGAAACCCTGTCTCTACTAAAAAATACAAAAATTAGCCAGTGTGGTGGTGGATGCCTGCAATCCCAGCTACGCAGGAGGCTGAGGCAGGAGAATCGCTTGAACCCGGAAGGCAGAGGTTGCAGTGAGCGGAGATTGTGCCACTGCACTCCAGCCTGGGCGACAGAGTGAGACTCTATCTCAAAAAAAAAAAAAAAAAAGAAAAGAAAACAGCATTTGACCAGTGTTAATACGCAACTCCTTAAAACAGTTTTAAGGAAGGCAGCCTTCCTTAAAGTCTGGAACTGTGACCACTGTTTCTCATAAATGAACAAGGACCAGTCGCAACACTGGCCCCAACAATAAAGCCCACTTTTTTGGGGATACCTGCAATGCATTTTGAAGACTCCTGAAAGCTTTTGAGGGGGCCTAATAAAAGCTCTTAATAATAGAGCAGGTCTAGTTTCTATTAGATCTTGAAATAGACATGCTTCCATCTCTCCCTAGTCTCTCCTTTGTAAACTATGAATTGTTTTCATGTTGGCTCTTAGAGATCTAAGGTTCTTCCTTTGTTCATGTACTTTTAACTTCTTTGTGTGGTTTTGGGAAGGTAGGCACAGATTTTTTCTCAAAAGTGAAATCAAGTTCTCAGTAGAAGAGGAAATACATAGTGAAGAGAAAGGAAAGTACCTTTCAAATCTTCAGAGAATGCCCCTTGTGCTCTTTACAAAGGAAATTCCCTTGGAAATGGTTATAACCTAAACTATTAATATGATCAGCTCATAATAATAGTGATAATAATAATAATATCTACTATTTGTTGAGTGCCATGCACATTACACGCATTATCTATAATTTCTGTGGCAACACAACACTGTAGGTCTTGTTAATTTCCATTGTATAGATTCGGAAATGGAGGCTCAGAAACACTAAGTAACTTGCCAAAAGTCTGTACCTAGAAGGAAGCAGATTTGTATCCAAGTCAATTTTTAAGACCTCCAAAGTGCATTCCGTTTTTTCCGTCATGGCTTAATTTTGAGCAAAAGGAGGCATGGGTTGATAAAGGGCTTGCAGTGCGAAGTCTCAGATTGGTTTCTGGAGGAGCGGAGGGGAACCTTGAGGAAAGAATTGGAAGTTTAAGCGCCAAAAATCATGTTCAGCCACAGAACATTTCTGCCACCCCTTGAAATCAGAATCATGGCACCCGAGCAGAGCTCTGCAGACACCTGGAAATGTTCTGGGTCAACAGGGCCGAGCCCCATGATGAGGCATAGGCTGAGCCTCTGCAGCCCCCAGTCTGGGACCTTGGCATCCTTCTTGGTGTGTATTAGAATGCAGCTACTTATGGATTCTGTTGATTTTCAACGTAACCCTCATGGCAATCACAGTCACATCTCTGATTCTGCTCCTTCTCCCTGTGTGACTTTGAACAGGTCAGCCTGAATCTTCCAGAAGGGCCTTTTTTTATCTGTCTATATAGCAGGCTGAAACTGGTGTTTAATCCACTTTCCTGCCCAAAGACACAGAGTGCAATAACACAGTGGTCAGCAGTACAGGCTATGGTAGCTGACTCCTGAGGTTTGAACCACCAACCAACAGCTTACTAGTGGTGTAACTTTAGGCTAATGAGTTCTAACCTTTTCTTCATCTCAGATTCCTACTCATAGGCATGCTATGAGGGTTGCATTGTGTAATGTATAAAGAGGGAGTTTTTGGCACAGAGTACATGTTAAATAAAATATATGCTATGGTATTATTTCCATTATCAGCATCCACTAAGGGCGTGAAATCTGGCAGCTTTTGTCTGTATACAATACCGTCTTCTCCACTATGTTAGATGTCAATCCTTGGTTTGAGCCTCATAGGTAACTGCTGTGAGCTTTAATGAGACCCCGGGTGAATTACATCTTGTAAGTTAATCATAGGAAACAGTCTTGTCCTAAATAACTGTGCCCTACATTCCAATTCCATCCCTGTCCTCTGAGTGCACCAAGTGTATGCTCCTTGCCGAGATGTTCGCCCTGCTCGTGTGTGAATAACTTAGGAGTGAATTCAAATGCATTTAAATAGCCCACAACCTTTCAGCAATTGAGGGTGCACTGTTTGCCTTCCCATGGGAATGCCCGTCAGTCACATCTAAAGGTGCGTGCTCTGAACTTCAGCATTTACCCCTGAGGTGTTGCTGTGTCTCATCCTCAACTGTGTGGCGCAGTATTATCCACGCCCATAGGTCAACTTCTGGTTCCTTCTACCTTCTCAGGCCCTTGCAGCCCTACGTCACTCAGCAAGTCAGTGACAACACTGCCGAAAAATGATGGAGAACCCATTTCATTCCATTTTTTAGGAGTTAGAACTAAAATTATATTTTACATCAGAAGGTAGTCTGTAGAGAAAAATAGAAAATGCACCTGAGTTGTCTAAGTGTGTTCTTACAAAGGAAATTCTTTTGGAAATGGTTATAACCTAAACTATGATCAGCTAATAATAACAGTAATAATAATAATATCTATTATCTGTTGGGCGGTGATGTGCATATTATGTACATTATCTATAATCTGCAGCAAGACTGCACAGCAGGTCTTGTTAATTCCAATTGTATAGATCCAGAAATCGAGGCTCAGGAACATTAAGTAACTTGCCAAAAGTCTATACCTAGAAAGTTGCAATGTTCAGTTCAAAGGGAAACCCACGGCGGGTCCCAGATCAGACAAAATGAAATGCCACAACCGCCGATTCTTACAATACTTACAGGCACCATGTGGCTGTTGTCTTATTTGTTGAGGGTTCAAGGCTTGTGTCAACACCTCCACCTGACAGACGAGGAAGTAGGCAGTAAGTTCCTGGCCTGCCCAATGGCTCCTAGTGACTCTGAGGGACATTCACAATGAGAATAGACAGCCTCTCACTTTAGGTGATGAGCGCTGTTCACTGAGAGCTGTCACCTGCCAGGATCAGTGGAAAGTTGCTGCTAGATCAAATATTTACACACTCATAAGTTGCTTCCTAGTATAGTGAGTTCCTCATAATACAAAAGTACCTAAAATTCTGGGTTTTTAAATTTTAAAGTCACTTAAAAAAAAAAAAAGCACAGATAGGCCGGGTGCAGTGGCTCACACCTGTAATGCCAGCACTTTGGGAGGCCGAGGCAGGCGGATCACCTGAGGTCAGGAGTTCACGACCAGCCTGGCCAACATGGTAAAACCCCGTCTCTACTAAAAATACAAAATTAGCCAGGCATGGTGGCGGGCACCTGTAATCCCAGCTACTCAGGAGGCTGAGGCAGGAGAATCGCTTGAACCCTGGAGGCAGAGGTTGCAGTGAGCCAAGATCGTGCCACTGCACTCCAGCCTGGACAAGAAGACGGAAACTCCATCTAAAAAAAAAAAAAAAAAAAAAAAAAAGGACAGAAAATATATTAGACTGCTATGTAACTACCATTAAAGTTAAACACTTTATCTTCTTTGCTTATTGAAAGCAAGAGAGAGAGAGCTTGCTAAAGCCATGCTTCTCATCCTTTTTCCTTCCCTCCCCATTCCCTCCCCAGAAGGTGATAGTCTCCTACAGTAGGTCTCTAGCATTCCCTATTTGTTTCTGTCCTTTGCATATGAATGTAGCATAAGCAGTATACACTGTTTTGTGTGTTTTTCAACTTTACAGAAATGCAGCTAGAACAGAGTTATCTTTTCCCAACTTATTTTCCATTCAACATCACATTTTTGAGATTTATCAATATGAGTGTTTTTGAATTTCATCCATTTATTGGATTCCATGGTGCAAATATACCACAGGATGTGTCTACGTTCTCCAGCTGAGAGACAAGTTACGTCTAAGTGTTCATTATTTACAAACAGCCAGGGCCTTTGCTCCTAGCGGTTCCTCTGCCTGCCAAGCTCCTCTTCCGGGAATTCATTCATTTGATGACCTTCTCAACATGTCCACTTAATTTGCTCCCTCTTCTTCCCATGTTTTTACTCAGTTATCAGTAGCATTGCCAGAGAAAAGACAGGAAATCCAGTTAAATTTGAATTTCAGATAAACAACAAGTTCATGTGTAGTATAAGTATACCCCCAAGTGCTATGTGGGATATACTTACCCTAACAAAAGATTCACTGATTATCTAAAATTTATGTGGGAATCTTATATTTGTATTTGTTAAATCTGCAACTCTAATTGTGACATTCTCAGTGAGGCCATCGCTGTACAGCCTAGTTACAGTTTTAGCCTCCTCCCCAACACTTCCTATTCTTTTTCACTCTCTTATTGTTTTTTCACAGCCCTTATCATCAGTTTTCCTGCAATGTATTTCCTTATTTATTTTGCTCATTACATATCTTTTTCCTCTGGAATGTAAGCCCTTTGCAGGCAGGATTTTTGTTTTGTCTTCTGCTATGTGAGACACAGTATGTGCTTAATAAATACTTGCCGAGCAAATGAATAAATGAATGAAAGGGTGCAAGGACTGCCTTTGTACATGTCTCCTTTGTAGTGTGTGAGATTTTCTCTAGGATAAACATTTGGAAGTAAAATTGCTTTCTGTAGGGTGTGTGTCTTTACTAGGTATTGCCAATTTGCTGTCTGAAGTAATTGAACAAATTTCCGTTCCCATCAGTAACGTATAAAAGTTCCCATTTCTTAACACCCACAGTACCTTTCTGTCTTTACCTTTGCAATTGCAATAATTTTGATTTTTGAGTCAACAGTTGAGACCAGCATGGAAACATAAGATAACCACAAATGAATTCAAAATAAACAGTAATTATGAATGCAAAAGGTGTCAGATGTTCTTAGGTGCTTATTTAAAAGATGAGTTAATTATTATGGATGTACGAACAATTCTAAACCATGGTGTCTCTTGTGTAATAAAATAAACAGAAATTGCCCAAACTTAACACTGTCGCAATGCCATTTAAAAACTCATAATAAAAAATTTTGAAGAAAAACCATTTTATTTATTTTGCAACTAAAAAGGAGGAAGTCTTGCCTAAGAAAACTAAAATGAAAACCCAAACGCAAGTGGTGGAGAGTTCTTTAAGATCTGCTTCAGAATTGCCAGAAACATGCAACTCATGTCAAAAGAGAAAATTTGAAAAAGTCCTTTGTTATAGACATGGCCAATCTCTTTTAAGTCCAAAAGACGAGTTTGAGGTATATAAAAAAGCACTGTAATTAAAGGATACAAAAACATGGCCTATTTTAATGTGTTCTTAATACATTCTTGGACAGCCATGAAATATGTTGTGAAACATTGTAAAAAATGGCCACTATCTCTCACTCCTTCCTGTTTCACGGCTTTGTAATGTGACTGTGAAGTGATGTCTAGAAGTGAAATCTGTTTTTCTTCCACTTGAATCTGGGCTGGTCTTCTGGTTTGTCTTGGCCAATAAAATGCAGGAGTGATAATATGCTAGTTCAAAATTTAAGTCTCCAAAGGACTTTGATGCTTCAATTTGATCTCTTGGAAGACTGCCTAGCTGCCATGTGAACAAGCCTGGTCTAACCTGCTGGAAGATGAGAGCAGGTGGATCAAAGCTGAGGCAGCCTAGTTATCTCAGCCCAGGCCTCAGAGAGGGGAGAGAACCCAGCTGACATCAGCAGTGTCATCCACTTGACTTGCAACTGACCACAGATGCATGAGGGAGAGGAGAACTGCCTTGCTGAGCCCCGCCTGGATTACCAACATATGCAATCATGAGCTACATAAATGCTGGTTATTTTAAGCTATTATATTTTGCGATGGTTTGTTACTTAGCGATGGTTAACTGGGACACAGGCTAACTTGGTTCTTCACCCTGCAGAAAGCAGATTTGTTAATTTCTTCATTTACTTTTCTTTTGCTAAATGTATGCTGATGAAAATTGTTGAATATGTTTTAATTTGCAAAGGATTTGATGGGAAAATAACTGATAAAGATTTTTTTTCCACAAATATGTGAGTGTTTTATTGAGCACAATATCAACTGGAACCAATAAACAATTATGCACACAGCTGGCACCCAGCAATGACACACAGCTGCACTGGAACATTTTGCCCCGTGCATGTACCAGAAACCACGGCATCATTCACCAACACCATCCTGTTAAGCCTCTGGGAGTTTCATGAAAAAAAAAAAAAAAAAAAAAAAAAAAAAAAAAAAAAAGTCTAGTGGTTTGAAAACTTGTCTTTTAAGGGAAATTATTAAGAAAATGAAAACTGCCTCTGAAATTTGACTTCAAAATTGTATTCTAGGTATATCCTTTTCCTTCTCAGCCAGGGAAAGTGCTATGTGGAGTTTTCAAACTCATAGATGAATTACTAGTTTTCTTCAAGGAGAACAAATACAAACAAATAAAAATCCTGACTACAGCTTTGAAAAATCCAAATAAATAACATTAATCATGAAGAGTGGCTCACAAATCTTTTTTCAAAGCTGAATTTCCACAGTCTACCAGGGCAAAAGAAAGCTAGGAATGTTTTTTCCTGCACATGATAAGATCATTTCCAAAAAAGTAAAGCTCTGCAAATGAATGCAAATGTTGATGGTGAACAATTAATCTTTTGTAACCTCAAGTTCAGTTCATATTATGAAAATTATAGTGTTGGGGTAAAAATATAGAAAACAGCCTCCATTATCTCACTTCACTAAAACGGTTTTAGATACTCAAGAATCTAAAAGAGATTGACTAGCAAATCAGAGTTCATTCAGTTCACCACCTGCAAGGAAATGCATTTTTTGACATTTTCACCTGCAGAAGCCTAAAAACGGGCCATAGTTTTGTTGTACCTCAAGGAATCTCTTTTTATTTTTATTTTGGAGACAGAGTCTTGCTCTGTTGCCCCAGCTGGAGTGCATGGCACAATCTCAGCTCACTGCAACCTCCGCCTCCCGGGTTCAAGCGATTCTCATGCCTCAGCCTCCTGAGTAGCTGGGACTACAGGCACGTGCCACCTCGCCTGGCTAATTTTTTGTATTTTAGTAGGGACTGGGTTTCACTGTGTTACCTAGGGTGGTCTCGAACTGCTGAGCTCAGGTAATCCACCTGCCTCGGCCTCCCAAACCGCTAGGATTAGAGGTATGAGCCACTGTGCCTGGCCTCAAGGAATCTCTTTAGTGATTCTGCTGGACAAGCATACAAAGCAAAGAGAAAATCCTTTTACTCTGTGCCCACATATTTATGGGGTCTAGGTCCTCAAAATACTGAAGCACCCAAACAGAGAAGAGAAAGTTTCTAGAAACTGAATCTGACAGCTACAGCTTTCTTCCCTTTTCTTTAATGCAACCCAGTTTCCCAAAATGAATATGCACAATCCAAATGCTTCTCATTTTTGTTTTTCCTTTATTTTTCCTAACAGTAAATATTTTAACTTTGACAATGAACCCTTTATATTATAGAAAAGAATGCAAAGTTTACAAGGAATGTAAGATAAACAATGAGACTAAAAAGCAGCTTCCTACAGTAGCAGTGTTGGGGACAACAGCAGGGATCAGGGCCCTTGTGCACTGCTGGTGGGACTGTGACATGGTGTAGCTACTTTGGAAAACAGCCTGGCAGTTCCTCAAAATGTTAAACACAGAGGGACCATGTGACCCATGCCTGGGTATATAACCAAGAGAAATGGAAACATATATCCACAGAAACTTGCACATGAATGTTCATAGTGACATTACACATAATAGGCAAAAGCAGGAAGAAACTAAATGTCCATCCGCTGATGAACAGATAAGCAAAATGTGATGTATCCACATAATAGAATTTTTTTTTTTTTTTTTTTTTTTTTTGAGATGGAGTCTCGCTCTGTCGCCCAGGCTAGAGTGCAGTGGCGCGATCTCGGCTCACTGCAAGCTCCGCCTCCCGAGTTCACGCCGTTTTCCTGCCTCAGCCTCCTGAGTAGCTGGGACTACAGGCGCCACCACCATGCCCGGCTAATTTTTTTTGTATTTTTAGTAGAGACGGGGTTTCACCGTGTTAGCCAGGATGGTCTCGATCTCCTGACTTTGTGATCCGCCTGCCTAGAATATTATTTGGCTGGGCGTGGTGGCTCACACCTGTAATCCCAGCAGTTTGGGAGGCTGAGGCGGGTAGATCACCTGAGGTCAGGAGTTCGAGACCATCCTGACCAACATGGTGAAACCCCATATCTACTAAAAATACAAAATTAGCTGGGTGTGGTGGTGTGTGCCTGTAATCCTAGCTACTCCGGAGGTTGAGGCAGGAGAACCTCTTGAACTCGGGAGGCAGAGTTTGCAGTGAGCTGAGGTCACACCATTGCACCGTAGCCTGGGTAAGAAGAGTAAAACTCCATTTAAAAAAAAAAAAAAAAAGGATATTATTCAGAAAAGAAATGAAGTGCTGATACATGCCCCAACATGGATGAACCTTGGACACATTATGCTAACTGAAACAAATCACTTACAAAAGACCACATATTGTCTGAGTCCACTGATATGAAATGTGCAGAATAGACAAATCTATACACAGAAAAAGTAAATCAGTATTTTCCTAGGGACAAAGGGATGGAGTTAATGTGTGTGGGGATGATAGCTTATGAGTACAGGATCTCTTTTTGGGGTGGTAAAGATGTTGTAAAATTGGGGCAATGGTTGCATGACTGTGAATATACTACAAATCACTGAATTGCGTACTTTAATAGATGAATTGTATGGTTTGTGAATTAGATCTCAATAATAACAATAAACATAAGCATCCTGCTTTCATTAGGCCACCATCCCCAGGCTTCAGGCCACGTCTTTTGATCTTCTCTGCCATTAGGGTCTTTGGTGCTAAAGGGATGGGAGACATTCACATAAGGGTCCAGCCACATCTCCTGAGGCACGTGATCCGCCTTCATTCATATGACAAACATCTACTGAGCTCCTGCAACATGCCAGGACCTCAGTAGATGGGGTATCCTTAGTAACTGTATCCTTAGTACTAGTAGATGGGGTATCCTTAGTAAATGGGGTATCCTTAGTCACTTAGTAACTAGGACTAGTACTAAGGATACAGTTAGTGAACAAAATAGACTCCCAAAGTCCCTGTCCCTGTACTGCTGAAGTTGGCATTCTGGTGGGGGAGTTTGACAATGAACAAATACTAAATAAGTACATAGACTATCAGGCGGATATGAGCTGTAGCTCAGGATAGAGGACGGGGAGACGCAGAGGCCTCTAAGAGACAACCATAGTGACTGGGGGAAGAGCTGGGAGGTGAACTTGGCTAGCAGGTGAGGCTTGACTGCCTGTGGACCAACACCCCTCTCCCTCCCTGGAAAGGAAGCAGCTGAGGTCAAAGCCCTGGGCAGTCATTCAGCTGTGGCCTCTGCTCAAGAAGAGGAAGGCGCGGGCAGATGCCTTCTGTTGTCTAAAGCCAGGGATGCATGTTGGCCTAATTTCCTCTTTGGGAGGATTACAGGGCAGAGTATGCTGTGGTTTCAGTGAAACATTTTACAAAGTTTCTCATGATCTACTCAAGGTCAAGATGAAAACGTATACTCTTATCATAGGCAGACTTCTAATGGGTAAAATAACCATATACAAGGAATGTCAATTTCTGAAATAATATATCAAGTTATGAATAACGTATCCAATATGCTGATGATGAGTACTAGCAGTAATACTACTACCAACACTATGATAAATTAATATTATTAACAAGGTCAATAATCAGTGGCATTCAATATTATTAACAATAATAACAGCCGAATTCTAATAAGAGCTTCATTGATCTCTGTGAACCACAGGCCTTTTATTTTTATGTACTGATAAATACTTTTATTATCCCTTGGTTGCATTTATAAAATCCAATTTTTAAAATGACAAAAACTTAGCTTAAAAGCAAGATTCCAACAGGCCAAAGAGAGACTGATGGATTTAACAATGTGGAATGAAGATTTAAACAGACCAGCTACTTACGTGTAGGAGGAGAAAAGCAGCATTAAAAAAACAAAACCCATACAACCTGAATGTTACTGACAGCAACCTGAATAGGAGGCTGAAGTGTGATGTGGTGGACCCCAAAGCTCATGCAATATTAGTATATGAAACAAACCACAAGACTGGGCAACAGAGTGAGACCCCATCTCTACAAAAAATAAAAAAAATTTGCGCATGGCAGCGTGTGCCTGTAATCACAGCTACTCACGAGGCTGAGGCAGGAGTATTGCGTGAGCCCATGAGTTGGAGGCTGCAGTGAGCTAGGAATGCACCACTGCACTCCAGCCTGGGCAACAGAGTGGGACCTGGCCTCGAAAACAACAATAACAACAGCAACAACAGCAAACCACAACAAACCACAGTGTTCTCACTGGGAGTTAATGGGACCGACATATTAACAACATTATAGGGAGTACTGTGTTCTGTTTCATGGCTACATTTTAAGACAGATGTTTGCAAATTTCATCAAATCCAGGCGAGAGCATTTAGGATGAGGAAGTGTTCAGGTCCAGCTTCAATGACTGAAGGGAATGGTGATGTCTAGTCCCCAAAAGAATAGCTCTAGCAGTGGGAAGGCGGGGGCTAGCGAACTGGAGCACGGTTTTCTTCGAGATTAGATGTGTTAAGTGCTGGTGCATGGAAGGAGGACCAACTAAGTGGAAAGGGTCAGGAAGCGGGGCTTAAAAGTGAGGCTGGGCTCGGTGGCTCACGCCTGTAATCCCAGCACTTTGGGAGGCTGAGGCGGGCGGATCACAAGGTCAGGAGATCGAGACCATCCTGGCTAACACGGTGAAACCCCGTCTCTACTAAAAATACAAAAAATTAGCCGGGCATGGTGGTGGGTGCCTGTAGTCCCAGCTACTCGGGAGGCTGAGGCAGGAGAATAGCATGAACCTGGGAGGCGGAGCTTGCAGTGAGCCGAGATCACGCCACTGCACTCCAGACTGGGCGACAGAGTGACTCTATCTCAAAAAAAAAAAAAAAAAGTGGGCAGATTTTGTGGTGACTGCACAAAGGGCTTTGTGCCACTCAGAGCTGCTACCCAAGGAGGTGGCTTTCTGGAAGCGGTGGGTGAGTGTCCTCTCCCTGGAGTGTTCCTGCAGAGGCTGGGCACCACCTGTGCTCCCGCTGCAGAGGGAATCCCTGCTCCCTGTGGGCGGTTGGCCTCCTGACCTCTGAGGTCCCTTCTGGCTCTTGGAGTCAGGGACCAGGCACGGCGAACAAAGAGCTCCAGTTGGGGGGTTGGCTCAGGCACTGTGGTTTCCCAACACTAGTAATTTGTATTCAGAGAACAAACACAACATTGTCTGAATTCACCACTGCTGAAGGCACAGACTTGGAGAAGTCGCAATGATCTGCAATGGCACTGACGGCAGGTCAACTGGAACTGCAAAATCTCTCAAGATGGAAGCCAGTATCTCATCTATGAGCCCTGCTACACCCTGTGGCTGCCTGACCGTGGCTCTGGCTGTGAAGTCTTTAGGTTTCATTCTCTCTTCCCCACCAGGGAAGGGTCTCAGGGAGCCCCGCTCAGCTCCATCATCTGCCTGGTCACCGCTGTAGATTGTTCACTTTGGCTTTGCCTCCCATCTTCTTCCTTGGGTCTATGGCTGGTCCTCACACTCCGAGGATCCTGGATCTCACTTTTCCTTTGCTTCTACATCTACTCTTAAGGCCCAGCCCTGCCCATTCCCCTTCTGGATTTTGGGGATCCCAGCCCAGGTCAAGGTCTTTATTGCCCTTGAGCAAAGGCCCAACTAGTGTGTAGTAATAGTGCCATTTATTGACTAACATATGCCAGATGTTGAACAGTCTCTATTTCACCTAGTCCCATAATGACAGTTCAGAGCAGGTGTTATACCCATTTTACAGAAGAGGAACCTGAGGCTCCAAGGCTCAGTAACTTGCCTGAGGTTCCCCAGTGTGTGGTAGAGCTAGAATTCAAATCTCTGTTTGTAGATTCAATGTACAATGTAGAATTCAAATCTCTCTGTAAATTCAAATCTACATTTTTCTCTAGTGTCTCATGCCGATCATGCTGACGTCAGCACCTCACTAAAACCATACCATATTTTCAGTAAATATGTGTTGATTATTTCTTTTGTATTTGTTTGCTTGTTTTTAGGAGAAGAAGAAAAACATTCTACTCATTTCCCCCCAAAAAAGAAAGAAACAGAAGAAAAAGATAATCTCACATGGCTTTGAAATAAACAGTGGCCGAGCACATTTAAAACGAAAGCTTTGTGTGAGAGAAATCTGCTTTGAGGTTTTATACTTGGATTGTTCTAAGTAGGAAAAGAATTGTCTCTGTGTGCTCACCGAAGTTTTGGCTCTCAAAACAGTGTTTTAAAAAAGTTTCAATATAGCAGGGATGACATACTTCCTGATAAAGATTCTCATCACCAAGAAGTGGCTTTAGTGTGATGAATACCAAGTCAGGTGACAAATTATGCAGCTCCTAGCTAGGGTGTGATTCGGATTGACAAACACAGGAGGGATAAGCATGCGGATATTAATATTGTTGGGAGATTCTTTAATTCTGCCCAATTCTTCTATCTGGTTCTATCTTAATATCCATCACAGATTTTTTTTTTTTTTTTGAGATGGAGACTCGCTTTGTCGCCCAGTCTGGAGTACAGTGGCGCAATCTTGGCTCACTGCAAACTGCAACCTCCACCTCCTGGGTTCACGTGATTCTCCTGCCTCACCCTCCTGAGTAACTGGGATTATGGTCATGCACCACCATGCCCAGTTAATTTTTATATTTTCAGTAGAGATGGGATTTCACCATGTTGGCCAGGCTGGTCTTGAACTCCTGGCCTCAAGCAATCCACCTGCCTTGGCCTCCCAAAGTGCTGGGATTACAGGTGTGAGTCACCATGCCCGGCCCACAGATTTTATTTAATAATATACACACACTGTACTTTCATTCTCTCTAGGGGGTAAACAAACAAATCAAGGACTGTAAATATCAAACTTCAGAAAAGAGTAACCAAGCAGGACACAAACCCAACAGCTCACCCTTTCTCATTCCCCAGTTGGCAGGGCTGGCACCGAAGGTCCCTCTCTTTGCAACACCCGGCAAAGGGGACAGGAAATCTGAGCCACAGTTGGGCACTGGCACTCACAAGGTGCATGGCCTTGGGTGAGCCCTTTGATCAGTTTCTGCTCCTCAGTTTTGTTGCTGATAGCACGGGGAGTATTAGGATCTCAAAGAGCTGCAGGAAAGTTCAGAGGATGTGGTGTGGGCAAGCGCACTGTCAACTGTAAATCACTCTACAAAAAGTGATCACTATTACCTTAGTCAACAGGCATTTCCCAGTGCGGAGAATTCAGCTGACCTGCTGTTGAAAAGGAGACACTCCACCTAAAACTGCTTTCTCTTCCCCAGCACTGAGATTTATTCTTCTCCTTTGTTTTCATTACTTCCTATATTGCATGTTTATTTATTTGTCCATTGTCTGTTTCCCTGTATTAGAATGTGGGTTTCTTGCAGGCCTGGCTTTGGTCTGTTTAGTTCTCTGTTGTATCTCCAGAGCCTTGAACAGTGCCTGGAACATACTAGGCTCAATACACCATTTTTGAATTAATGAATGCTAAATGACGTCTCCAGTCTAAATGACCCCCATCTTAGCCCCCAGCTCTGATATTATGAACAAGCAGTAAAAATGTCACGTAGAATTTTAGAAACTTGAACTTTCAAAGCAGGATGTTAGAGTGGTTCATTTATTTATTTATTTATTTATTCATTCCCTTAACTAATTTTCAGTCAAGTACTATGTGCAAAGCTCTAGGCTCTGCTACATGTCTGTTACGAATATCAGTCAATACAATTTTCTTTTTTTTGAGAGAGAGTCTCACTCTGTCGCCCAGGCTGGAGTGCAGTGGTGTGATCTCGGCTCACTGCAACCTCTGCCTTCCGGATTCAAGTGATTCTCCTGCCTCAGCCTCCTGAGTAGCTGGGATTACAGGTGTGCACCACCACACCTGGCTAATTTTTATATTTTTAGTAGAGATGGGGTTTTGCCATGTTGGTCAGGCTGGTCTCGAACTCCTGACCACAGTGATCCGCCTGCCTCGGCCTCCCAAAATGCTGGGATTACAGGCATGAGCCATCATGCCCCGCCAGTCAATACTGTTATAAAACAAAGCAAAATGGTTTTTTGTAAGAAAAAAAAAAAAAGCTTTCAAATACATATTTAAATGACAAATGCCCCCCTAATTTCCTATTTATGCCCAAATGATTCTATCTGATGTCTTCACAGCTGATTTACAGGCATCTGTGGTCTGGTGGCTTCTTTCTAGAATTAGGAAGCTCATCTTAATTTCCAAAGTGACATCTAGTTAGATGCCTAGGGGAAGGTATCGTATGGTCCAATTTCTTCCACACTTGTTTCTAAACTCATTGTAATTACTGGAGATGTGGGTTTCAGAGAGGGCATGAATAAGTACAGTTGATGTGTAGGAAAAAAAAAGTCTCTTAGCAGAAAAGGTTAAAAAGAAAACTCCTGCTCAAGCGCCATAAGTTTTAAACAAGCCAGTTGTCCGTGACTTTGTTTATACTGCAGTTGGGTATTGTTTGACTTAGGAAGCTGTTCAGTCATCATGGTACTAATGAGTTAATAAGTAAGTAGATGCCTATATTTTCCAATTACGTGCCCCATTTTATTTCTGGGTAGTAACAGTGTGAATAATTTGGCAGGGCGGGTCCAAGAGAGAAAGAAAACTTAGAAAAATCTTCAAACCTTCAGAAACATCACTGGACTTAAGAGTGTAGAAAATGCTTCATAGTGAGATTATATATACACAAATTAAAATGAATTTAATGTATATAAAATTAAATTTTTTAAATTAATTTGTATAGGATTAAATTAATTTTATATAAATTAAAATGTAGCAATTAAGTGGAGGAATACTTATTTCAAAATTCTAAGTAATTCAAAAAATTGGATTAAGGCCAGTCGCGGTGGCTGAAGCCTGTAATCCCAGCACTTTAGGAGGCCGAGGTGGGCGGATCACTTGAGGTTAGGAGTTCGAGACCAGCCTGGCCAACATGGTGAAACCCTGTCCTTACTAAAAATACAAAAATTAGCCAGGCGTGGTGGCATGTGCCTGTAATCCCAGCCATTCGGGAGGCTGAGGCAGGAGGATTGCTTGAACCCAAGAGGCAGAGGTTGCAGTGAGCTGAGATTGCACCACTGCACTCCAGCCTGGGTGACAGAGTCAGATCCTGTCTCAAAAAACAAACAAACAAACAAACACACAAACAAACTAACACAATTGCATGTGCGCCTGACCTAGCTTACATAACACAATAGGGACCATCAAAGAAGCCAATTAGAACTTCAGAAACTATATCCCCCACCACAGTCCTAAATCTTTCCTGTCTCTTAGAAGGGGAGCAAGATTTTTAAAGTATTAAAGGGTCTACAGCAACTGAGAAGAGTCATCAGGTATAAAACAATCACAGAGCCACTCCAAATCTTTACGAAACCAGTTAGATGGAACAAAAAGATCCAGCATTTAACATTCCTCTGGCATGTAGGCATTTTTTTTGGCAGAAGCAGAACTTTGGAGCTACTGACTCAATGCTATCCTCCCCAACTCCATGTTTTTGTCTCCTTAGGACAATCTTGTTCTCAAAAGCTATGATGAGGTTCTTGAACTGAATGCCTTTAAGGTGTCCTTTACATCCTGCCTGTCTTCACCCAGTCCTACCTGGGTATTTTGAAAGTGTGTTAAATACTTTCATCCAGAATGCAGATTTTTAAGGTGATTATAGGAATTCTTTCTAGGTAGTAAGAACCTACATTACAATACAACCTTTGGTTGCGTACAAATTTGGGCATTGTGTTTTTGCAACCAAAGTCCACAGCACTTGAATTCCACCACACACTTATAGGTGAATAGTGGAAAACCACTTGTGTCGAAAGGGTATTTCCCTGTCATTACTGCGGTGTCAGAAATTCAACACTGTGTTCTCCCATGGGAACATTCTTTTTAGACATGTGTCCTGCACTTGGCTTATAAAATCATTCACTATTATTCCAAAATTTTGTACACATGGCATGTTTGTTTGGGCTTGAAAGCCAATTTTTGTATTCAAATCTTTGCTTTTATTATTTTTTTTTAATCCTTCCACTTAGCATGTGACCAGTTATACACAGGTGCTTCAATAGTAGGGTGGTAACTAACACTGAATCAATTCTCACTATGTGCCAGGCACTGCGCCACACATGTTACCTATCATAATTCACTTAATCCTATCATCCCCATTTTACAGATGTCTTAGTCTGTTCAGGCTGCTATAGCAAAATACATAGACTGGGTTCTATTATGAATAATAGCAATTTATTTCCCACAGTTCTGGAAGCCCAAGATCAGGGCACGAGCACCATTGGATTTTGGTGAGGGCTCCTCTTTCCCCTTGCAGACGGCTGCCTTCTGGCTGTGTGCTTACATGGTAGAAAGGAAAAGGGACCTCTCTGGGGCTTTTTAGTTTTCTCTCTCTTTTTCTTTCTTTCTTTCTCTCTCTTTCTTTCTCTCTTTCTCTCTCTCTCTCTCTTTCTCTCTTTCTTTCTTGACAGATTCTCACTCTGTTACCCAGGCTGGAGTGGAGTGTGCAATCATGACTCACTGAAGACTTGACCTCCTGGCCTCAAGTGATCCTCCCACTTCAGCCTCCTAAGTAGCTGGGACCACAGGCGTGTGCCACCATGCTTGGCTAATTTTTGTATTTTTGTAGAGATCAGGTCTCAGTATGTTGCCCAGGCTGATCTCAAACTCCTGGGCTAAAGTGATCCACCTGCCTTGGCCTCCCGAAGTGTTGGAATTATAGGCATGAGCCACCATGTCTGGGCTGGTGCCTCTTTTATAAGGGTACTAATACCATTCATGAGGGCTCAGCACACCCTCATAACCTAATGGCCTGTCAAAGGCTCCACCTCCTAATATCAGGACCTTGGGGGCTAGGTTTCAACAGATGAATTTTGGGGAACACAAACATTCAGGCCATAGCAGCACATAAGGAATGGAGTCTTGGAGTTAGTGAGAGACGGAACTGCAATTCAAACCCAGACAGTGTGGTTCCAGTGCTCTTACATTATTTTACATTGTTTCTTGTGGCAACATTTCCCTCCGTGTATGTTAAGAATTTAGAAATGTTATATGGTGACTGCTAGGGACTAAATTGTATTCCTCTCCCCTAAATTTATATGTTGAAGTCCTAACCTCCAATGTGATGGTTTTTGGAGAGGAGGCCTTTGGTAGGCGATTAGGTGTAGATGAGTTCTAAGGGTGGAGCCTGCATGTTGAGACTAGAGCCCTTAGAAGAGGAAGAAGAGAGATCAGAGCTTTCTGTCTCTGCCACCTGAGGACACAGCAAGAAGGTGGCCGTCTGCAAGCCAGGAAGAGAGCCCTCATCAGGAATGGAATCTGCTGGCATCTTGATCTTGGACTTCCAGCCTGCAGCACAGTGAGAAATAAATGTCTGTTGGTTAAGCCACTCAGTCTATGGTATTTTGTTATTGCAGCCCCAGCTCATGATGACAGTGACAATTCATCTGTCTATCCCTTACATTGGTGATAATCAGTGAAGAATTAAAAAAAAAAAATAGAAGGTACTACGTAAATAAAGACAGGCAATGGTCTTTAAGATCAATGTCAGTACATGTATTATGGCAAGTATTAAATGATCTTATACAGCCAGAAAATATATGTGGTCTAACTCTTATTTTATAAAAGAAAGTAAAACACAAAGAGGTTAAATGACTGGTTTAAGGTCATGTAAAAGTACATAGAAGTAGTATACAGGTGGTTTATTTTTTTAGATTACAGGTGATTATTTTCTAGCTATGAGGTAAGTGCAGTCTGCTCTAAAAATAAAAAGCTCTCCTCCTGCTCAAACCTCTACTTGAACTAGAGGGCAAAATTCCTGCTTTATTATTCTAATGACAAGATCATACTGCTTCTGACTAGAAAATGCCAAAACAGGAGACAAAATTAGCATCGTATGGTGCCAGTTAAAAATTATTTAGAAACCCACAAGTTCTGTGCTTTGTAAATTTTTTTTTCTCTCTCTAGGACATAGTAGAGCTGAATCATTACAATGAGGCATGTGACAGAAATGTTGACTATTTCTGCCATGTCTGTCTATTTATGACTTCTTCAGACTACAGTAATTGTCTGCAATAAATAGACTGTATTCAAATGGCAGGATTGATTTGCCATTCAGGATTATAAGCAACTGTGAGTAGTTCATTCTTTGGTTAAATTATGCTTGTAAGAAGTGAGAAAATGGGATGAGAAAAAAATGTGCTCAGTCCATAATGATAACCTAGGGTAATCATGTATTTTCCTGAAGGAAGTAATAAGGAACACACACCTTGGACACACAATAAACAGCATGGTGGGAAACCCTAGAGTGGATGGTCTGTATCGAGTGAGGTTTTCCAGGGCAATGTTATTCAAAAATCTCTGTCTCTTTGTTTGAATCTTAGAAGCATCAATATATGTTTCCTTGAAGATGATGTTTAAGGCCAAATCCCTTTCATCTAAGGAGAATCTACAGTGTATATGTAAATAAACAGCTTTCTTCTTCAGGTGTCAACAAAACCCATGACCGTTATGATGTCAAGGAACTAAAGCACCCGACCTCCATACAAGTGTTCCTGAGTGCGACATTTTCTCCTTCCAAACTACTAGTACCACAACTTTAGACTTAGGCTCTGTGGGCAGGTCCCTTATCTGATGAAAGAGGAAACAATGCTTCTGCTCACACATGTGTGCACATACGTACACACACATAAACCGGGTATGTTAGCACAGCATCATGTATATGCTATGATACATTTATTCTAATCGGCAAATGGCCCAAACCTATGTTTACCATAAGGTTTCATCACTTTTTTTAAAGAACAGCTATACCACATGTAATGCCTCACACCGAGTTCAAGGTCTGCTAAAAATCAGACTTTTTTTTAAAACCTGGACTATTGTAAAGGTAGGCCACGTTTATCTTATACATAAGCAGTTGATCTTTAAGATATTTCATCTTATTGGTGCTAGCTAGTCCTAACAGATTGCTAAAGAATTCACTGATGCAAAGAAGCATGGTTGAGTCTCTGTGATGTGCCAGCCCTGGGGAGGAATGGAGAGGTGAACATGGCACCACCCTGTTTTCAAGGTTGGCACAGTATTGAAGGGGAGATAGACAAAATAAACCTGCAAGTCACAAAGCAATGTAATGATAGAGGCAGCATGTGCCACATGTCAATGACAAACCATGTGAGAGGGATCAACCATCAGGTTGGGGTGGGCCGTGGCTAGGGGAGAGGCAGTGGAGGCTGCAATTCAGCTGCGCATCTAAAGTTAAGAAGAAGCTTTTTAAGATCTTGAAGCTGTTATTCCCCACTTTTATACTATGTGCCCATCTCATGGACATGCTGTCTCTGTTGCCCAATGAGGGAATGGCTAAAAATGACTCAGGCTGTGGAACATGGCCTCCTTCAGTCTATTGTCCATGCCATGGCCTGAGTAATCCTTTAAAATCGTAAGCCAGATCACATTACACTCCAGCTGAAGTTCCTCCAATGACTTCTCATCTAATTAAGAGTAAAAGCCAAAGTGCATGGGCCAGCCTAAAAAATCAACATTATTTGGAAATCTCCTTTCTACCCCATCTTATCTCCGCCTACTTTTCTTCTCGTTCCTTTTTTTTTTTCCCAGTCATCAGAAAAGCCATGCTCCCACCTCTAGGCCACCACACTTACCGTTCCCTCTGCCTGGGACTCTCTTCCCCCAGATAGCATCTCTTGCCATAAAGGAAGGACTTCTCTCAGGGAGAAGCAGTCCCTGACCACTCAGTCAAAACCACATTCTTTTCACATTACTCTCCATCCTCCTAGACTATTTTATTTTTCTTCATGATGTTACTTATCATCTGACACAGTACAGATTTTATATTTGTTCATTTCCTGTCTACCCTAAGTCCTCTTAAAATGGAACTTTCCTGAGCATGGGCACGGACATGTTTTATTCTCGGCGTTATCCCTGATGTTTAGAAGAGTACCTGTCATAGTGTGTTCAGCAGACATCTGTTGAAAGAATGACTTCCAGCACTTTGGGAGGCCGAAGCGGGCGGATCATGAGGTCAGGAGTTCGAGACCAGCCTGGCCAACATGGTGAAACCCCGTCTCTACTAAAAATACAAAAAATTAGCTAGGCGTGGTGGCGGGCGCCTGTAATCCCAGCTGCTCAGGAGGCTGAGGCAGGAGAATCACTTGAACCTGGGAGGCGGAGGTTGCAGTGAGCCGAGATTGCACCACTGCACTCCAGCTCTGGTGACAGTGCGAGACTCCGTGTAAAAAAAAAAAAAAAAAAAAGAATGACTTAAGAGAGAATGCAACTGGAGCATTTCTTCATTAATACAGGCTGCAATTGTGGTGGCACAATGGGCAAGATCTGCACTTACTTCTTTCAAGGAAGAGATATCACAGGGATGGTGGGGTTATCCCACTCCTGATCAGAATTTAGATTCACTGACTGCACCAATGGTGGGGCTTGATCTTGACCACTGGGCCAAAACAGATGGAGATATACATTAAACAAAGAATTCCCTCTAATCACCACTTCTATTATCAATCAAAAGTATTTGTATATTTACTTTTGTGTACAAAAATTTAACCTCCTGAATGTGATCGCTTTATCTTCTGTTCTTGGTCATTCAAACCACTTTCCCAGAAAAATTTAATTGCACAAAAGGCAGCATGCAAATGCTCTTTAATTTTAGTTTCTGTTCCTTCTTTAAAATCCATTTTCAGTGTAACAATATCGGGCCCAGTGAAAGTTTCTATTGTAGTGAAACGCTTTTTTTTTTTTTTTTTTTTTTTTTTTTTTTTTTTGAGATGGAGTCTCACTCCGTTGCCCAGGCTGGAGTGCGGTGGCGTGATCTCGGCTCACTGCAACTTCCGCCTCCCAGGTTCAAGCAATTCTCCTGCCTCAGCCTCCTCAGGAGCTGGGACTACAGGCACGCACCACCACGCCTGAATAATTTTTTGTAATTTTAGTAGAGACAGGGTTTCACCGTGTTAGCCAGGATGGTCTAGATCTCCTGACCTCGTGATCTGCCCACCTCGGCCTCCCAGAGTGCTGGGATTACAGGGGTGAGCCACTGCACCTGGCTCTTTTTTTTTTTTTTTTTTAGTATAAAATTTCCCTTTACCTCATGCAATTTCAAGTTATCAATCAGTACATTTATATGATTGATTGAATTTGGTGTGTGCTAAAAATTTGCTGCTCAAGGAAATCAACTTTTTATTTCTCCTATTAGGCGTCTGTTCATCGTGTGTGGTTCAAGGAGGAAATTCGTGGCTGCAGAGATTTGAAAACCACAGACGAGGGGAATATATTCAACCCAGTTTTGACCTGTTTCTGCTTCTGTATATTGTGCATTAACTAGAAGTGATGTGAAGAAATGGAACAGAAGAGAAAATGAGGCTGTGTATTGGAAAACATTTGTCAGCCTGCCCTGGCCAACTGTGAACACAGATTCCTAGAAGAATCAGTGAAAATCTCATCACTGGGGTTATTTGCAGCCAGACTGGTCCAGATAGTTGAGATTTTACTGTAGGGAGTGATTGTTTCTGGACCCCTTAAGGCCTGGGAGAAGGAGGAGTGATGATGATCTCATTGTCTATTCCCTTTTGTGATGGGTATTGATTAGTGCCAAGCCAATAACCAAGGCAATTCCAGTCCATAATAAAAAGCAACACAACAGCAGTCCCAATGATCAGTCAGCAATTTGGAAGCCAAAGGCAAAGATAAGAAGCCTGCTAGAGATTTACTTGCAGGCTTTATAATGTCATCTCCTTCAAACACTAGCAGAAAGCACAGTATTTCCTTTTGGTCCACCAGCTGCTGTTGAAACAGAGTTTTGATTGTAGTAAGACAGGACATTTGTTTCACTCAGGGCTCACTGACCATGCTGGTCTTCATGTTTTCTACTTAAGACAGTGTCCTTATACAAGCAAATAAGAAAAATGTGCCCTACACGACAATGTACAAGGATACACAGAATGAACAGAGCCAAGACGCCTAAAAGACCCACATACTTTTAGAGCAGAAAAATAAATTCCACTGAGGGTCACTTCTGGAATTTCTATCTTTATTCCTACAGATTGGATTTCCCACCTTTCCGAAGAAGGTAACATGGTCAAGTTCTTCCAAGTCCTAAGAGTCCAACCCAAGCCTTCATTTAAGTTTTCAGTTTAGAGACCAGGTGTGGTGGCTCACGTCTATAATCCCAGCCCTTTGGGAGGCTGAGGCGGGCAGATCACTTGAGGTCAGGACTTGAAGACCAGCCTGGCCAACATGGTAAAACCTCATCTCTACTAAAAATACAGAAAAAATTAGCTGGGCGTGGTGGCACACACCTGTAATCCCAGCTACTGGGGAGGTGGAGGCAGGAGAATCGCTTGAACCCGGGAGGCAGAGGTTGGAGCTGAGATCGTGCCACTGCACTACAGCCTGAGTGACAAAGCAAGACTCCGTCTCAAAAAAAAAGAAAAAAAAAATTCGGTTGAGAATGAAGCCCAGTGTCATCATTTGCTCCCCTAACATGTAAAACCATCTATGTAGAAAAACTGATTCTACTATAATAGAAATGTTTTCTAGAACCTAGACTCCTCTAAACTCATGGCTGCCCATGAATCAGTGCTTGAAGATTGATTTTTACAGCTTACTGAATCATATATTGGTATCTGATTTTTCTTACAGCACTCAAGAAGTTAAGAATTTTCTATTTCAATTGGATTCAAGTGGTTTCTGCCTTTTCTCAGGGTACAAGTTCTACAAGGAGCTGGGAGATAATTTTAAAATAGCCAAAAAATACCCTTTGCATGAGGAAACGATCAGAACGAGAGTCTAGTTATTTCCATTAGGCTGTCCTCTTCCACAAGTGATGCTAGCATGATAGTAAATGCCAGAACTATAAATTCTATAAATGTGTAGAGACTGTCCATACAGAAGAGAAGGCCATCATTTCATAACAACATATGGAAAGTAAACACAACTTGATCTTTAGATTTTAAAGTAGTTGGCAGTGTTGGAAATTCAAGAAACTTGAGTTCATTTGGAGCAAGTAAGTTAAGATGGAGCTCATAAGAAATGTAACAGATTTTTTTCCTTGATATTATTTTTAGAGTCCATTTTCAGAATTCAACTGAATTGTATTTAGAATTTAAAATTATAGCTCAATGATCCATTTTTAAAAAGAGAAATTCAGCTGGGAGGAAAAGGATAGTTATACTTAACATACCTTTTTTTTTTTTTTTTTTTTCTGAGACAGGGTCTCACTCTATTGCTGAGGCTGGAGTGCAGTGGTGCAATCTTGGCTCCTTGCAGTCTTGACCTCCCAGGCTCAAGCAATCCTCCTACCTCAGCCTCCCAAGTAGTTGGGACTATAGGTGCATTTCACCATGCATAGCCAACTTTTTAAATGTTTTGCATAGAAGAAGTCTTGCTACGTTGCCTAGGCTCGTCTCCAACTCCCGGGCTCAAGCAATCCGCTCACCTCGGTCTCCCAAAGTGCTGAAAGGCCCAGCCTTACTTAACATATCTTTAGCTGGATTTTTTTTTTTGTTTTAAGTAGAAGAGAAAAACAAACTCTGAGCAAACCAAGTTTGTTTTTCTCTTCTACTTAAAGAAAAAATCCTAAACTCTGAATTCTAATTAATGAAAATTAAATTATTTACACAAGTATTTGGATTGGCATTTATATCCTGGCAAATGATCTACATGCACATTTTTTAAAGCCGTGGGATTAAAAAGATAAAGACCCTTACTAGAAGACTAGCAGTTGGTTTTTTAACTTAGCTGCTCTGTTTCATTTCTTTTTACAGTCAGTGATAAATGGAGATCATATATTCTCCTTAATGGCCTGTTCGTGATTTGGCATTGTGCTAAGGCTGGCTGGCAGTGGCTCTGAGGATATGTGGGGGTGTCCCTGGGCAGGAGAGGAGATACTGCTGAAAGTCATGCCCCATCCCTTTTCCCTCTGCCCCAGTGCTAGGGGCTGGCTGGGCCACTCAGCCAGCACAGACGGCCCAGTGGGCACAAGTTACAGGGGACTTCTTCCAGCTTCCTTTTTCCTCTCCCTTCCTGCCTGTTCAGAGACGTGCAACAGAGTAATGAGAAGGAGGAGGCCTCCTTGAAATAATGTCACATGGAATTCTCAGTTTAATAAGGCCTCCAGTTTGTTCCAAACATGCTTGAGCATTTGGTGGCATATTAGAAATTGATCTGAAAGTAACCGGACACGCTTGGCACCCTTTTCTTTTTGCGCCAAACCATTTTGTTATTCTCATGTTTTATTTCCTTATTATTTGTAAGCGTGTTTGGCTGCACAGCAAGCCACACATTATTTGTGGGATGGTAGCCTGCAGGAGTTTTTTATTTTTAAATTAAGCTGCCACTTGACATATAAAATGTAAATTTTCCATAATCATATCATCACAGTGACAGTTCCATGTTTCATAATTTGTGCAGGCTCCATTCTCTTTCTGCATGGAATGCTTAGCAGCCAGTCTGGAGAACTTGCCGTGTGTTCTCCAGGCTGAGTCCTTGCTGAAGACCACCCTGAGCTGGAGGTACAGCGTGCTACCTGGACACCCTTTGTGTCCACCTGGCAGGTGCAGAGCTGCCCGCCTACTACGCCCTGGGTCACCTGCTTACCCGAGTGCTGCACCTTGAAGGTTTGCCATGGTAGAGCCTGGTGGGGGAGCAGTGTTGTCCCTTCCAGAGTGAAAACCAACTTATGAAGATAAGAACCAACATCACCTCTGGAAGGAAAATCCAGAACAACTGGTTTAAAACCTGGAATTTAGGCTTATTTTGCCACCTGAAAAAATTGGGGGACAGTAGGGAGGGAACAGCACTCCCCAAAGCTGGAGGCCTAGTTTCTATTAGCGGTTCTAAGTCATTCCCGAATATTAACTTAGGCAAAATATTTATAACTTTCAGTATTTCAGTTCTCAGCAGGCAACATGGCAGTAGGCTGTAGTGGTAGAGATGGGATCTGCGGTCAGAGTCTGTTGTGAGTTTGAATCTTAGCTGTGCTACTTACTAGTGCTATGATGGAGGCAAATTAACTTGAACTTTCTTTGTGTCAGTTTGCTCATCTATCAAATGGGCATAAATACTCTCATAAGGTTGCTGTGAAGATTAAATTAGATATTCCATGAAAATCATACAGCAAAGAGCCAGGTACATAATAAACATGCAATAAATATTAACCAAAAGGATTATAATAATTATTATTCAGTGCCAGGACATGGAGTGAGAATTAACAATTTTCTCTCCAAGAAAAAAAATACATTTAATTTCCAGACAGGAGGGATATGTAACAATAACACCCTATTTCAAACTTGGTGAGAAGATGGAGATGACTTCACTCATGCAGAGAACTATGTATTTGTGGAGGACTTCCAGCTTGCAATCCCCATAGGCTCAGCCGGGTCTGCACAGGACTGAATGAGGCTCTACCTCCTTCACTCACTACGCCCTGCTTTCATCAAAGGCGTTCACTGCATTTAGTGGCTTGTGTGGTTTTGGCTCAGAATGGTAATAAAGAGGTGACGAGTGACAAGAGAGGGCTCCTGCTACTCTCTGGCTTCTCCGTTAAGCGTCTGATAATGCTGGTCTCTGCCTGATAAGCCGCAGGGGTTACTTGTCCTGCGTGAGCCTTTCAAGGAGTCAGAAAGGAAACCTCAGCTCTGCAGACCCATTGATGGCCGCGGAGGCTCAGGGACATGCCTAGGGATTGTTTTTGAATGAGATATGGTTTGTCCCTGTGGTGTTGAAAATGATTCTCTCTAATCTACTGTAAAACCCAGTCCCATGCAAAGAGTGTCACTGCCAGACGTTCCCGAAGGGTCTGGGGGGAAACAGACAGATACAGGGACTGCAGCTTTAGGAGAAAACGTCGTTTGAGGGAAAGAATGCTTAAATAGGAATATAACAGTGTAGAATTAAGAATAAAAAGGCAAAAGAGCCTTTAATTGCTATAGAATCCCAGAGCAGTGGTTCTTAACCTAAATTATACTGTTATTTAGAAAGATTTATAAAATTTTAGCTTATTTGTTAATTTTTTTTTAAGTCGGTGTCTTGCTCTGTTGCCCAGTTTGGAGTGCAGTGGTGCCATCACAGCTTACTGCAGCCCCAAAATCCTGGACTCAGAAGATCCTCCTCCCTCAGCCTCCTGTGTAGCTGGGACTACAGGTGCACACCACCGTACCTAGCTAATGTTTAGAAACTTTCTGTATAGATGAGATATCTCTATGTTGCCCAGGCTGGTCTCAAACTCCTAGCCTCAAGCGATCCTCTCACTTCAGCCTCCCAAAGCCTTTGGCCTAAAATGTTAACTTTTCTGATGTAAGGTGTTGAGCCATAAAGAGGTCAGGGGGAAGAGGAGATTAGAGATGGTTTAACCCACCAATATGTTTCCAGGAAAGGAAGCTGATTCTGAAGAGACTCAGTGAGTTGCCCAAAGTCCCAGAGCTAAGTCAAGGCCAAGGCAGAACCAGAATCCACTGACCTCCAGCTCTAGGGCTGTTATGTATTCCCCCACCTACCCCTTCTGGACTGTATGACTCTAGCTAGCAAGAGCTGCAGTTTTAGCACTGGCCAAATCCATTCTTTTTCTAGGCTTCATCCATTGCTGTGCCCCCCGAGGACCCTTGTACCAATGACCATGGTTTCTGATGAGTTCCTCTGCATCCTCCACATCTCAGAGTGGAGATTTCACTGTTCATTCCCCAGGAAAGACCTTCCTGACTCCCAGGGCTAGGTTGGCTGCTACTACCCTGTGCAGTAAAGCCTTTGCTCTATCCCCTATCCCTGCACATCTCACGTGGGGTGTAACTGCCTTTTCTTGAGGGAGTTAAAAAACATGCAATTAAGGTTGGGTGTGATGGCTCATGCTTGTAATCCCAGCACTTTGGGAGGCCACGGTGGGCAGATCACCTGAAGTCAGGAGTTTGAGACCAGCCTGGCCAACATGGCAAAATCTCATCTTTACTAAAAAAAAAAAAAAAAAATAGAAAATAGCTGGGTGTGTCTGTGTGTGCCTATAATCCCAGGTACTTGGGAGGCTGAGGCAGGAGAATCGCTTGAACCCGGGAGGTGGAGGTTGCAATAAGCCACGATTGTGCCACTGCACTCCAGCCTGGGCAATAGAGCAAGACTCTGTCTCAAAAACCAACCAACCAACCAACCAACCAACAAACCAACCAACCAACCCCCTTCTACACAATTAATTAGAAACATAAAGATGAAGAATTAAGAAAGGATAAGGCAAATGGCCTCTTTCATTCCCACAGAATCGTAGAGATGTATTACCAACCCAAATTCTATTGCTCCCTGAGAAAACATTTTTGTCCAGACCCATTGACCAAGTCTAAGTTTTGCAGAAGCAATAACCTGGTCCTCTGCTTTGTCCTTGGTTCCTTTAGAATCTAGCACAGTAAGTGGCTCATAGAAGGTGCTCAACAAATGTTTGTTCAATGAAAGTTGAATGAGTGCTTTAATGTTAGCTAACTAACATTAACATGGGTCATGTCCTCTCTGTGGCTTTTCTTCTTCCAGCTCAACATCTCCATTTTTTTCTGCTTCTCATAGACAGTGTCTAGAGTCTTCATCTCCTGAAAGCCCCTTCTGGACAAACTCCAGGTTTCCAGGTCTGTTTAGCTGGTGACTTTGCAGATGCCACACCTTGTTCCATGAGGAGAAGGCGGGGCAGTCTCTCTTGCTCCTCCTAGGAGTCTCTGTATTTCTAAGGAAGTGACTTACAATTGTGTTGCCTTCCTTAATCACCAGCCAATACTGTTGGTTCATTTTCAACTTATACCCATTCAAGGCTATGCTGTATGTTTAGAAGGGACTACTCCCTGGGACTTACAGTCTCTTTGAGTAAGTTATAATAGTAACAACACCCATAAAATGATAGTGAATGATGATGTCTTAATATACAGGTGTGTGATTACTCCAAAAAGTAATTGATTTTATTCATTATAATTAAAAAATAGCCCAAGCACAATAACCCAATGTGGGTTATTGTTGAGCCAATCAACACTTTCTTCCCCCTACAACCATGCTTGACTAGCTTAAAAAAATATTTCTGAAAGGCTGGGTGCGGTAGCTCAAGCCTGTTATCCCAGCACTTTGGGAGGCTGAGGCGGGTGGATCACCTGAGCTGAGGATTTCGAGACCATCCTGGCCAACATGGTGAAACTCTGTCTCTACTAAATATATAAAAATTAGTCAGGCGTGGTGGCAGTCATCTGTAATCCCAGCTGCTCGGGAGACTGAGGCAGGAGAATTGCTTGATCCTGTGAGGCAGAGGTTGCAGTGAACTGAGATTGTGCCATTTCACTACAGCCTGGACAAGAGCAAAACTCTGTCTCAAAAAAAAAAAATTCTTACTAAGGCAGGAAAATAGGGTCTGGAGGCAGGGAACATAAAGCGGATGAACACTTCAGCTATGACAGGAAATGTCTTTTCATAGGGTGTACACCGAGTAAATGACTTTGTAACTTACTTCATCCTCTTCGTTTACATAGGGCATACACCAAGTAACCAATGGAATCGTCTGGAAGGTATTTAAATCCCCACAAATTCTGTAACGAGGCCCTTGAGCCCCTATGCTTGGGCCGTTCCCACACTGTGGAGTATAATTTCATTTTCAATAAATCCCTTCATTCCTTCCTTGCTTGTTTATGCGTTTTGTCCCATTGTTTGTTCAAGATGCCAAGAACCTGGCCACCCTCCACCAGTAACATTACTACATTTGAAAGAATGAAGGGTTTCAAAATTTTGTCCGTGACAGGGGTCACTCTATCCCACTGGCATAGTGAGTGTGTGAACAGGGGAACAAGATGTGTTTTACAGTCAGTTTCATCCACATTCAAGCATTTCTTTTCCAGATTTTCAACATAAGAAGTTTTGTTGTTTTTGTTGATATTTTGGGTAGTGGTGGCCAATGTCTGTTGCCTCTCTCCTGTATCTCTGCCCCTAGAGGCCCCTGGGACACAGATAGAAAGGAAGCAGCTTCCCCAAGGACTTGGACAGCAGACAAGCTGGCTAGGGGAGCAGGGGGCAGGTGGTGAAACAGGGGAAAAGCTCATTTCTATGACCCATCAGGGAAGCTGAACAAAATCTAGAAATGTCACCAGGATAACTGCATAGGGAGATACAGCATCCTTGACAGCTCTATAACTATTATGCAGAAAATAGCAACAGCAGAATCAACTAAGGTTGTAAAGGAACATTGAAACCATTATGAATGGAGATCTAAAAGAAGTGATCAGAAAAGCACTACAGGATTTGGCAAGCACCCTGGAAAAAATATAGGAGCTCTATGCCTAAAACACATTGACTATGACAGCATTAAGGGTGGTGAGGAACATAGAAGGAGCCTTGGAAAGGACAAGAAAGTGCTTTGTTTTAGAGACATAGTTTTCTTAATTCTTATCATACCTCACTCAAATGATGCCTAGAACAGGGAACAGGTTCTAGTGAGGTGTAGACAATCTAGATTCACAGAGAAAACTATTATTTTTTGCATGAGGACATCAGAATTTAGAGAAAAGTCTGAACTCTTTTCCTCCACAAATGTCTACGGATCCACTTCATTCACTGAATTCTTGGAAGCGCAAGCTTAATTTTATAGCTGAAAAAGCAGGGGCTCAAAGTGTCCTAGTCATTCATTTTAAAACTTTTTTTTTTTTTAAATGGAGATGCTGGCTGTCCTTTCACATTCATTAACCAAAAGAAAAAGAGAAGCAAACTTTGCAGGGTAATCCCACTTATATCCTTGTTGACGAAGACTGAAGGTTCCTTAGGGCCTAAGTTTTTCACTCCACAATTGCTGCAGTAAAAATGGCTGGTCCTTTTGCTCTCGATCTCTTGCAGGGAGAGCAACATTTTTACATAAATAGCCTTACGTTAGAATGCTAAATTATATTTTGGTTTCATTTCAGATAAACTAGAAATGGAACACATGATAATTACCTAGTAAAAAATTCAATATCAGGTTATGAAGAGAACCATGTGTTGCAGTCCCTTGGGCTTCTATAACAAAATGCCTTAGACTGGGTAATTTATAAACATTAGAAATTTATTGCTAACAGTTCTGGGGGCTGGGAAGTCCAAGATCAAGGTGCTGGTAGCTTTGGCGTCAGGTGAGGCCTCTGTCTGCTTCATAAATGGCACTTTCTTGTTGTGTTCTTACATGCCAGAAGGGTAAGGCGGCTCTCTAGGGCCTCTTTTACAAGAGCACTCATCTCATTCACGAGGGCAGAATCCCGTTCATGAATTTTGGGGGGACACAAACATTTAGGCCATAAAACCATGAAAATCCAAGATTAGAGCAGCAGTCCTCATTTTAGAACTGAAAACAAATGGGCTGGGTGTGGTGGCTCATGCCTGTAATCCCAGCACTTTGGTAGGCTGAGCAGGCGGATCACCTGAGGTCAGGAGTTTGAGACCAGCCTGGCCAACATAATGAAACCCTGTCTCTACTAAAAATACAAAAACTAGCCATGTGTGGTGGTGCACACCTGCAATCCCAGCTACTTAGGAGGCTGAGGCAGGAGAATTCCTTGAATCTGGGAGGAGGAGGTTGCAGTCAGCCAAGATCATGCTATTGCACTATTGCACTCTAGCCTGTGTGACAAGAGTGCAACTCCATCTCAAAAAAAAAAAAAAAAAAAAAAAAAAAAAGTTGTTACCAAATGATCAACGATTTTCCAGAAAATCCCAGGACAATCTGCCAATCTGCCAATATGTTAGGTAAAAATATTGTTGTATATGGTGTGCCTTGTTTTCCAGAAAACTGATAAAGACAAGTTTATCATCTCTGATATTTATTTTTCAGTGGTGACGTGAAGCAAGGCCAGAAAGCAGGGAACAGCCTCTAGGAGCCCTTTTTTCAGCACCTGCGATGTGCCAGGGCTGTGTTGTGCTCTTTCCACTTACTCTCATGTTGGACTCTCCTATCAGCCCTGGCAGCTTAGATACTCCTATCCTCCTTCCTACTAAAAAGAAACTGAGGCTCAAAAAGCTACATGAATTCCCTCAAAACATGCCTTCTGCAAGTAGAAAAAGCAAGACTCAAACCCAAGTCTGTCTAACTCTAGAATCTGTGTGCTTTCCATTGCATCAGGTTGCCCTGACCAGGATGTGTCTCTCTCCTTTGTCCCCCTTCAGCTGCCATGGTAGATTTGTATAACTAAAGGGAAATGTGTTTGGCACAAGAGGGATTTCTTTAGATTCTCTTTTGTCCCAGACACTGAATCAGATATGGACTCAGTTACACTGAACAAGATGTAAGATCTTATATTGAATAAGATAAACAAAAGTGGATATAATTCTTACCCTTTAGGTGCTGGCACACAAGTAACCATAAGACAGATGTGTATAATCCAGGAAAGCTTCCTGGAGGAGTCAGAGTATGATCTTAGGGGAAAGTAAAGAGCTTCAACTGGACTCCTGGTTTCATGCAGCACGGTAGTCATCACTCTAAGTCATCAACAGGTGCTGCAGTGCCAAAAATGGCTAGAGTCTGAGGTCCCAGTTCTGCCACCAAACTCTTCGGACCAGTCTCCTATTCATCTTGGGTGGACTGAAAAGAATGGCTCTTTGCTATAGGCTGAATGTGCTCCTCCAAAATTCCTATATTGGAATCCTCAATCCCAAGGTGATGATATTAGGATGGAGAGACTTTGGGAGGTGATTAGGTCATGAGGGTGAAGCCTCATGAATGAGATTAGTGTCCTCATAAGAGACAGACCCCAGAATCTCCCTCACCCCTTCTGCCATGTGAGGACACAAAGAGAAGACTGCTGTCTATGAACCAAGAAGTGAGCCCCTTTCATACACCAAATCTACCCCCACCTTGATCTTGGACTTCACAGGCCCTAGAATGGTAGGGAATATATTTCTGTTGTTTATGAGGCATCTAGTCTATGGGATTCTATTATACAAGCCTGAATAGATGAAGACCCTCTTCCTTGCAAATGAAGGGGTGAGCCAAGGATGCTTGGGTTGCTTTGTGTCTCAGAGATTTAAGATTCTATATTCTACATTGATTTTTTAAAAAACTCCTCATTTTGTTACACTTTCATCACTTACATGGCACACTCGTGTTAACTAAGCTTTTCCCCTTAAATAAATAGTCTTGACATTTCTTTCTGTTGCTTCTGATCCACTTACTAGAAGCTGCTGCGGTCTCAGCTGCCAGGAACAAGGCAGGCATGCATTGCCCTTCTGGCTGGGCTCACCAAAGGAGCCTTGAGTTCTCAGCAATGTGGAAATACTCCTGACAGCAAAGGGAGGGTTGCAAATGTTCTCTGGGGGTGACATTTCTGCAAACCTTTTGTTGGGCAATCCCCTTTCTCCCCAGAAAGCATCAAATGCATGCTATCCCCAGAAGCTACATGTCTTTAGAAAGAGGAAAGAATAACACTCCTTCAATAACAGCAACCCTCAGGTGGGTGGTGAAGGATCTCACTCTCTGATTACAGTGGTGCTTCCTGGAAGACCTGAAATAACTGTCCGCATGGAGAAGTACTCAGAGAAGCAGAAAGGGTCAGCAGATGAACTAAAAAACAACTTTATGAGCAGATACCTAAGAGTTAACGTTTCATGTTGTAGAAGTCAAAACTACAACTCCCGTCACCAACCCAACGCCCAGCCTTTAAATGTTTTACCTATACTTACAGCGGTGTTCCTTTAAATATGATCACCGATAAAGAGGGGTGCCTTTTAGGTTTAGACCCGCCTCAAATTGAGTAACAAATCAGCTCTTTCACACTCAGGCTGCGTTTTGGTTAACTGCAGCAGTGATGTTCATTATCCTTCGTGAGTAAGCCCTGAGGCTCTTTGGGCATCAGTGCTCATAAATTAATATTTATGATGAAGATTAATAAAACTGAAATGAAAAAAAGGGACTTAAAATTAAAATTTAAAAAGCTCTTCAATCTCTAAATCCATTTCCAGTGAGAGGGATGGAAGAACAGTTAGTACCACGTGTGTTCGCAAGCATTTATCAGTAGACAAATCTCTTAATTGTAACCATTATATTGTGAACGATCCACTAATCCTTCAATTTCATTCTTCACTGTTTCTCATTTAAGCAATTCTTGCATTTTTTCTATGCCTAGTTCCTCAGTTAAAGAAGGAAAATAAACTTCTTGTGAAAAAATTTACTTTTCCTTTGTATTCTTATATACCCACATGCTTTTCTGTTTATCCTTTTTGTTAAATATGAAAGAAACTGAATAAAAAGTCTGAAAAAGGAATTTAAGAGAAACCTGTGCTATTTATTTGCCCCTAAACCACCACTACAGATAATCTTCTAATTTTTAAAGACCTTCAAATAATAGAATAGCATTGAATGCATTTCATTATTAAGCACTCTCAGTATTAGAAGTTTTCCTTGTGTTCAGAAAGCATTCTTGTTGTGTTTTTTGTTGTTGCTGTTTGTTTGTTTGTTTGTTTGTTTTTGAGACACAGTCTTGTTCTGTTGCCCAGGCTGGAGTGCAGTGGCATGATCTCGGCTCACTGAAACCTCTGCCCCCCGGGTTCAAGCGATTCTCACACCTCAGCCTCCCGAATACCTAGGACTACAAGCGCACACCAACATGCCTGGCTAATTTTTTGTATTTTTAGTAGAGATGGGGTTTCGCCATGTTGCCCAGGGTGGTCTCAAACTCCTGAGCTCAGGCAATCCATCCACCTCAACCTCCTAAAGTGCTAGGATTGTAGGCATGAGCCACTGTGCCCAGACTCTTATTGTGGTTTTATATGAACTACTTTTTGCTCTGTTCTTCTATTGCCTCAATAGAGTATACTATTACATTTTTATCCAGCACAAAATCCTGGCAAAGCTTTATACAGGGCACAGAAGGGTTAACAGTGATCCTCCACTAGGGGTGATTTTGCACCTCTGCTCTCCAGCCAGTGGAGGACATTTGGCAACATCAGGAGATATGTTTGATTGTCACAACATGGAAGGTGCTACCAGCATCAGTTGGTAGAGGCCAGGGATGCTGTTAAACATCCTGGAATGCCCAGAGCAACACCGTCCTCCCCAACCTCCAACAGAGAAAGACCTGGTCCCAAATGTCAATAGTACCAAGTACCAATAGTCCAAGGCAACATCATGAGATATGTTTGATTGTCACAACCTGGAAGGCGCTACCAGCATCGGTTGATAGAGGCCAGGGATGCTGTTAAACGTCCTAGAATTCCCAGAATAGCACCATCCTCCCCACCCTCCAGCAGAGAATGATCTGGTCTGAAAAGTCAATAGTACCAAGATTGAGAAACCCGAGGGTTAAGAGGAAGTGGCAGCTACACGGTAAGGCAAGACCATTGAAACAGCTGCAGGGAATTCAACGCCAGTACCAACCGTATGGTTCACATTATTCTAAATTGCCTGGGATTAATCAATGTAGGGTGAGATTAGGGAGTGAAACCATCCTGGAGAGCGTTTAAGGTTTTGAAAATTGTTAACCACATGATTTTAGTTATATTTTGGATCTACTTTTTATTTTATGGTGAGATTACCAATGCAATTTTCCTCTATTTTTCATAAGGTAAAAGCTGTAATGCATTATTTGGGAATTCTAATTTTTCAGGAAGCATTTTAGCTTGGCCAGCATAACTGCCAATGCTTGACATGCTTCCCTGGCATAATGAGTGGGATTTATTTGTAATATAAACTTCTGATTGGCTAGTTCCTGGCTCTTTAGAAACTGCCACATTTTTGAGGGTTGTACTTTCCCAACATTAATATGAGAGTTTGAATGTTATTTTTTCCTCCAGAAAAATGTCCATATGTCAAAGGTCAATGATATAAAAGTATTCTAATTTAATAGCAGGCATGACTAAATATAGAATGGAACAAAATCCTGGAATTACTTTGCAGAGCCAACAACAACAAGAATAATCAGTACTGCACAGTGACCCCCTCTCAGACAACTTCTGGATGTGCCACATTTCTTTTCAACAGGGCTGCCACAAGGGAAGTCAGTATCTAGTCTTTGTTAAATCAGATTTCCCATTCTGGCAGCAAAAAGGTTTTCCCATCTCATCACCTTAGTTGGAAAACAAAGCTCACTGTCCTGATAGTTGAAGTTGCTTTCTAAAGTGCAAAGGGATACACATTTGTAAGGTGTATTAAGGTATTTGTTTCCAATTATTTGGCCATGCAAACAGCGCAGCTCTTTGATTGAAATAAATGTGAGAAAACAACTTAATACTTGTTGAAGTCCGGTCCACCATGAGCCATTTGGCTTTATGGGTTAGGAAGTGAGAAACATTGCTACAGCCCATGAGTACTTGGGGAAACTGAAGGGCACAAACCCTTTCAGTTTCCCCAAGTACTCATGGAGTGAAGTCATGTTTCTCAGTACGTGCTTCCTTGGGGGTCTGACAATGCTTCACTCAGAGCAGCGTCAACTGAGGCCAAGGTCATGGGTTGACTTCTTCAAGGTCACAGATTGGCTTTTCCCATGGGCAGTCAACTTCTTCAAGGCCTGTGGTCAAATCCAGCCCTCCTCACCTTTCCTCACTCTCCATTTAGGAATATGTCAACTGTTGCAGTGTAAGGGGCTAGAATGTGAGGTCTTTCCTACTGTCTACTTCCATGAGAGGACAGCAGTCAATGTTGTGTTGATTTCATACTCAAAAGACAGGAGTCTACATTTAATTGGATGCCATACATGTTATTTCTTGTCCTATTAAAAATATGGTCTTGTATTAAAATTAGATTTCTGAATAATGCCTATGTATAGGCCTGAGGGTATTTCTCCATCTCAACCTCCGTGCTATGAGCCTGCAACAGGAATGGCGCTATCACTGCTTCTTCACACAAGGTTAACTCTCTTACTAAGTGGATTCTGAAAGGATTGAGGAATTGAGGCTGACCCGGGTAGTGATGGGATGAGAATGTCAAGAGAAGATGTCCTTGGGTGGACAACAGCATCTTGATAGAGCTTCCATTTTATCTTTCCAAGCAGCCCAATACTGTTTTCTTATCTATAGATTCATGGAAGGTTACAGCTCAGAAATGTCTTTACGATTTCCTAGTCCAACCCTCCGGTAAACCATGGGCCAGAGTGGTTGTGTCAACCAATGATCACACAGCTGGTCAGTGGCCAGGCTAGGATTCATTCTCTACTCTCTGGTGCTACTGACTATAAAGGAAGAAGCAGGATGGGAAGATTCTAATGAACTCAGAAAGAGGACGGGGAAAGAGAGCAAGGATTGAAATCCTAGTATCCGAGAACCATGGGACTTGAAAGGGTCCAATTTAGTTAAATGCAAATCGTGTGATATGGTTTGGCTGTGTCCCCACCCAAATCTCATCTTGAATTGTAGCTCCCATAATTCCCAGGTGTTGTGGGAGGGACCTAGTGGGAGATAATGGAATCATGGAGGCGGTTTCCTCCATACTGTTCTCATGGTAGTGAATAAGTCTCACAAGATCTGATGGTTTTATAAGGGGAAACCCCTTTTGCTTGGCTCCCATTCTCTCTTGTCTGCTGCCATATAAGACATGCCTTCTGCCTTCCACCATGATTGTGATGCCTCCTCAGCCACATGGAACTATGATCCATTAAACTTCTTTTTCTTTATAAGTTACCCAGTCTGGGGTATGTCTTTATCAGCAGCGTGTAAACGGACTAATACAGTGTGTATGCAAAGCCAAACATATAACATTACTTTGTCAAAAAATGGCAGCCCAAGGAACTATGAAGGCTCAAAAAGCAAAGCAAAACAAAACAGGGTAAGAGAAGAGTCTCAGATCGTAGACACCAGGCAGGTTAACTAGAGGAGCTTTGGTGCTACTTGGAGGCTTGAGCTGATAGAATTATACTTACAGTTAGGATTTGTGCTTGCCCTCAGACAGAAGGGCAGGCCAGGCCTGACTGTACACCTATCATTTCAACAGTCTACAGGACACATGGCTGGCATTTTGCTAAACAAGGCTCCTAAAAAAGGTGTGAATGGCTTCCCTGACATCACTTTACATGGATCTCTGAATTTTGCACAAAAACAGAAAGTCTTAGAGAGAAGGTGGCCACAGCCTCCTAGCTGGCCCTGGAATGGAGTGAGGCCTCTCTTTTCTACTATATTGGTAAGATCTGTTTTACATTTTACCCTGGTCTGGAACTGCCCTGAGTCTGGGAGGTGCCCATATGAGGGAAGCACATGGTGGACCACAGCAGAAAAGCCACAGGGTCTTCCAGAGCGGTCACTCCAGCTACCCTCCTTGGTGTGGGAAGGTGTGGTTTTCTGAAGACACCGCGCCCTGTTCCAGGCCCTTAATGGTGTCAAGTTTTCATGGAGGTTTCTTTGTGATGGAGGGACCCTATCCTTTCTCATGTCTGAAAACTGCTCTGCCACAGGGTAAATGATTCAGAAAGTTTCTGATTCAGCCACAAATGAAACTGGGGAAGCCTCATTAAAGGCACTAATGAGCGCTCCCTTTCATCGCAGGCACTGTCTTGACATCTCCATAGATGTCTCTGCAATGATGGGCCCCTCCCTGTGTACTGCCTGGGAGAGCAGCCAGGGCGAACCTGCAATGGGGGCTGAGCTCTGTGAACAAAAGAAGCCTCCCTTCTGAAAGGCAAGCCCAAGTTGAAGTCATCAGACAGAGATAACTGAGCTACGGGCCCTCAAGGCTACACTGGAGCAGGTCTGAGGCCAGCCCAGACTCTTGTCATTAGAACAGTCTGCAAGACATATGGCTGGCATTTTGCTGACCAAGCCCCTAGAAAAGGTACGAATGAATTGTTTTACATCATTTTAAAAGGATCTGTGGTATTGTGCAAAAACAGAAAGTCTTATTTCCAGATAGCAAAGAAAAGTTTTAAAAAAGAGATCTAGCCAGGCGTGGTGGCTCGCACCTGTAATCCCAGCACTTTAGGAGGCTGAGGCTGGCAGATCACGAGGTCAAGAGACTGAGACCATCCTGGCCAACATGGTGAAACCCTGCCTCTACAAAAAATACAAAAATTAGCTGGGCGTGGTGGCGCGCGTCTGTAGTCCCAGCTACTCAGGAGGCTGAGGCAGGAGAATTGCTTGAACCCAGGAGGTGGAGGTTTCAGTGAGCCGAGATTGTGCCACTGCACTCTAGCCTGGCGAAAGAGTGAGACTCCATCTCAACAAAAAGGCAAAAAAAAAAGACCTATGTCTTTTGATTTCATTTTCCTTGAGAGAAGCAAGACGTCTTGTGGTTTGTTTCATGAAATATCTGATCATAGAAAGGGGGAGGTGGTTCATAGATTATAAAATGTTGTCATTCTAAAACTGCGAGTTATACATTTCATATCACACATTACAATTACATTTGGGAGGAACCGTGCTTTCTCACACGGCAAGATGTCCAGGACAAGAACACAAGAGGAAACTTAGGCAAGTCTGCATAAGGTTCTAGGTGGACATCTCCTATTCCAGTGGTCTCCCCTCAGGCCTCTCCACCAGCAACGGTGCAGTGAGAGTAACAGAGAAATAGACCCAGGCCTGGTGGGAGGTTGGAAGGCAGCAAATATAGATAATTGAGCAAAAATAGATAATTTGTTGAAAAGGAGACCCACATCGGCCAGGTGCGGTGATTCACGCCTGTAATCCCAGTACTTTGGGAGGCTGAGGTGGATGGATCACAAGGTCAAGAGATCTAGACCAGCCTGGCCAACATGGTGAAACCCTGTCTCTACTAAAAATACAAAAATTAGCTGGGCGTGGTGGCACGTGCCTGTAGTCCCAGCTACTTGGGAGGCTGAGACAGGAGAATCATTTGAACCTGGGAGGGAGAGGTTGCAGTGAGGTGAGATCACACCACTGCACTCCAGCCTGGCGACAGAGCAAGACTCTGTCTCAAAAAAAAAAAAAAAAAAAAAAAAAAAAAAAAAGAAAAAGAAAAGAAAGAAAGAAAGAAAGAAAAGTAGACCCACACCAAAGAGTGTTACCTTGCATGTAACTTTAAAGCAAATGATTTTCCTTCTGTTTAGATAACAAAGAAACCAAATATTGCTTATGTCTTTAAAAATACTTGGTATGGAAATAGGTTGGTGTGGATCGGATAAATTGCTGTGGAAAGTCTGACTCAGATGAACTGGAGCAGAGTGGCCCTGCTCAGTGGGAAGAAAGGCACCTTCAAGGTGACAGCGTAAAAGATGAGACTATAAATAACTCCGGCCATCAGTAAGGGCACTCGATATGTTCCTACCATTCAGAGACAACAGAATTAAAGAGTTGGACAAACCAAAAGAGACCATCTGTCCAGGTCTGTCTTTGGGCAGGTGAATACCTAAACCATCAGAGCTGTCTCTTTATTTCTTGGGGATCTTATGTAGCAGGGATCCCCAACCCCTGGGCCACAGACTGGCTGCACAGCAGGAGGCGAGCCGTGAGAGAGTGAAGCTTCATCTGTATTTACAGCCACTCCCCATTGCTCACATTACCACCTGGGCTCCACCTCCCATCAGATTAGCAGTGGCATTAGATTCTCACAGGAGCACGAACCCTGTTCGTGAACTGTGCTTGCCAGGGATGTAGGCTGCATGCTCCTTATGAGAATTCAATGCCTGATGATTTGTCACTGTCTCCCATCACCCTCAGGTGGGACCATCTAGTAGCAGGAAAACAAATTCAGGGTTCCCACTGATTCTACATTATGTTGAGTTGTAGAATTATTTCATTATATATTTCAATGTAATAATAATAGAAATAAATGTAATGTGCTTAAATCATCCTGAAACCATCCCCCAACCTCAGTCCTTGGAAAAATTGTCTTCCATGAATCAGGTCCCCGGTGCCAAAAAAGTTGGGGACCACTGGGACCATACACCCTTCAACAGAACATGACAGGTCTGCATAAGATTCAAGGTGTTTTCCCTGACATTAGATAGAAAACTCTTCTGTTATATATTTGTAGCTATTTCTGCATACTAATGCTGCCTCATTTGCTGACTTATCATTCTGAAAGTTCCTTCCGTAAAAAAGAAAGGCTTAAAAAATACATTCTAATGATACGTGCCTTCTCTGTCTGTGCACACAGTGTCAGATAGAAAGCAACTTCTTATCCTTCCAATGAAGAACACGGAATAGCTGAGTCTTTGCCAGACATAGCCTGATGGGAACCCTGTGGTGTGGCCCTCTTCATGGGGAGTTCAGTGTGATCAGGTTGAGCCATATTTATGTGATGTCACCTAGGCAGGGATTAACACTGGCTTTACGTGGACATCTCCTATTCCAGTGATCGCCCCTCCGGTCTCTCCACCAGCAACAGTACAATGGGAGTAACAGAGAAATAGACCCAGGCCTGGTGGGAGGTTGGAAGGCACTAAGCCAGCCGGACTAGTGCCAAACTTAGAAACAAAAGGGAAGAAGTTGAGTGAATGAACAGGGGCATAAAAAGGAAGGGATTTCTTTGGTAGGTATGACAAAAACAACCAAGTCCATATCTTAAATATTTTCTCTCCAGTAAAATTTTAATGTCACTTTGGGATAGGGTCTGTATGGTTAGTCTTCTTCTAAACCTGGGTCCAGCTGCTTGGTTTTGTCATGTGATTTTTTTTAAGTAATGGTGAATTTGTAATAGGTTTCTTTCTTCTCTTTCTCTCCTATGACAGACCGGGGAAAGGGGCTTACAACCAGAATGCTATCAAATCCTTTATGAAACATTTGGGGCTAATTACCCTTGCTGGAAGTCTCAGGATTTTTTTCCTTGCAGTTTTTTTTTCCATTTTAATGGAACACAGTTCAAGTCTCATAAATGCTTAAATATGTAGTCGTAAAGTTTCAGATGTCTCATGGGCACCGCTGTCTGCAAATCTACCAGGCAGGGCTCTGCAGAGGTTCAAATTCGAACTGGTTTCCGCCTCTCACAAAGTGTGTTATATAAGCTGGGCTGGGAGAATTTACATGCTCCATGCGGCCATTTAATAAAGCTCACTTGATTATAGAGCCAGGGTCACCCCAGGAAATCTTGCCACCTCCCCATTTAAACAGTGAGAGGGAACTATGCATTTGGCTGTTGTTGCTTTCTCCTGATCCAGTTATCCCCAGGAAGTGATCCTTCATTTCCTTGCTCATGACTGCAGGCTTCAAGGAAGAAGCCAGACCAGGCCAGGGTCAGAGGCCCCAGTTTCAACTTCCTCTGGCTGCAAACAAAGCCATCAATCAGAGCACAGGCATTATTTACACATTCCCTAGGAGTTGCCTTCTTGCGTCTCAGAGCAATGCACCAGCACGTAGTTAGGGAAGTAAAAAACAGGACTGCCCCTCTGTGGAATAATTATGGACTTCACAACTATGAGTTGGGATCAAAAGGGGGACAATCAAGGGATGCCACTGGTTTATGTCCCTTTCCTGACCCAGATGCCTGGGGAGAGCCAGTGAAGTCAGAGGCACATGCAAGTTCTTCCTGCACCTCAGAGCTAGGAGAATGAACTCTGCTGGACTCTTTAGGCAGATGCTTCCCTGAACGCAAGAATCTTTCTGATGCCCTGAGGGCTAAGGCTAGAACCAGGAAGTTGAAAGAGGTGCTCGTTACTCAGAATCCCTGTCCCTACCTCAGCCATATTGTCAACCAAGTCAGCGAACGCTAGAGACTTCAGGAGGAGAAGGGAGTGTTTTCTCACCATAAAAAAAATTCTAGGTGCTCCTATGTCATCGTCACTTGTTTATTTACCTAATGCAACTTTCCCAAGTCATGTACATGTGTCTTTTAGACACTGAACACATCCCACTCCCTTGGGTCAGTCTGGAAACTCTGGTGTAGACTCGGCCACCAACTCACATTTTAGTGATCCTTTACCTTGGGAAAATTGCCCAATCTTTTCTTTTTTTCTCATCTTTGCTTTCACATCTTCCAAATTCCACTTCTGTTCTTTTACTCGCCTTCTCCTTGCCAAGTGATTGGTCCACTGAAGACCAGCATGGCCAGCCTATAAAGGTTGTAAAGAAAGAACTGGCAAGGTAAGGTGTGTGTCAAATGGGTGATGTGTTCTGTCTGTGTGTCTGTCTGTCTGTCTCCATGTGTCTATCTCTCGATGCCTGTCCTATACCTGGCTGAGTGCTGTGAGCTGGCCATGCTTCAATAAACAGCAGACTTGACCTCGGGGAGCTTATGGCACAAAGAAGAGGAAGGCAGACATGGGACAAATGATTATAGACAAGAGGAGCGCTCATATGGGGAAGCTTGGGAGGCTTCAGGAAGGTACCTGAGCTGTAGGACTTCAGAGAGGAGATTGTTGTGGGTTATGTAAGGTCATCACAGAAACCTTCCATCAAGGCATGTCTGAAAGGCTGGGTAGGAATCTAACCACCTGAAAGGAAGAATTGCATTAGCCTGCAGCCTTCCAGGCTACGGACACTTCAGGTAGGAAAGCGGAGACCTGAGTGTCCCAGGGGTTTTGGGGACAAGGAATAGAGCAGTTGACTACGTGGATGCTATGGATGCGCTAGGAGAAAGAGGCAAGTTTGGAGATATTAGCACTCTCTATATACACTTAATCTTCACCAGACCGCTATCATTCCCAATTAAACAGACAAGGAAACTGAGACACAGAGGCTGAATTGCCCAAAATCTCACAAACAGTAAATAATTGAGTGGGATTTTAAACAAGGGGAGCTTGTTGCAGAGTCCACTGACTTAAAACCAGGGCACTCAGTTACCCCTCTCTGTGGTAAGATGGAGTGGAGTTGGGAAGGTCTTGGATGACCAAACCAAGATCTGTGGTCATACGGGATGCCTAGGGGAGTCTGTCAAAACTGGATTTAGTTATCATTTATAAAAGAGACACACATGCAACATGCATACACACACACACACGTGCACACACACACACACACACACATATATATACACCATGTCTAACATTTTCACTCAAATACATGCCATAGTACAGCAGAAGCCTCCAGTGTTTAATCTGTGCTTCTCCTCCTGCATGTCTTGGTAAAGAACATAGATCCTTCTGCCATCACTTTGGATCTGTTTGAAACTTTCCCAAATGCCTCATTGGATGGTTATTCTCCATGTCATCCAGAGTCAAGAAGAGTAACTCTGTCCTGTCCTTTTCAAATATTCTGGCCTGTGCATGTCCACTCAAAAAAAATAAGCAAAAAAATAAAACAAACTTATCAGGCGGGGCATAGTGGCTCATGCCTGTAATTCCGGCACTGAGAGGCCAAGGTGGGAAGATCGCTTGAGGCCAGGGATTCAAGACCAGCCTGGGCAAAAATAGGGAGATCTTGCCTCTATAAAAAATAAAAAGTAAATTGAAAAAAAAAAAAACACCTTATCAGTGTGTTCCAGGATTTTCTTGTTATTGTGCAAGCAAATATGGTTCTCATTAAATGGACTTGTAATAAATAAATGTTATTCACTTATGCTACTAAAATGTCATGTTGAAATATATATATATATTTTTAAGATACAGGATTCTCACTGTTGCCCAGGCTGGAGTGCAGTGGTACAATCATAGCTTAATGCAATGATAAACACCTGGGCTCAAGCGATCCTCCCTCCTTAGCCTCCCAAAGTGCTGGGATTACTGGTGTGAGCCACTGTGCCCAGCCTGAAATCTATTTTACATATTCGGAGTTTAGTATAGAATTCTGCCAAAGGTCTTTGCTGCTGAAATCTTTGGCCCTAAAATAGGCAATCAAGAGCCACTAAAGGTACTGATATCTCAGCAGACAAGTGACTTATACAATGATGGATAAACGGAATGAAGGTGAAGATGACTGGATGAAGATGGGGAGGGGTTAGGAGCATTTTGCAGGCAGCTCTAGGGTACAGCATGGGCAAAAAGGGTCTGAGCAGAGAGCAGGTGGTGGGGATGAGGAGAATTGATAAGCCCATGGAAAAGAGGATTTTTTTTTTTTTTTTTTTTTGAGACAGAGTCTCACTCTGTCACCCAGGCTGGAGTGCAGTGGCACAGTCTCGGCTCACTGCAACCTCCGCCTCCCAGGTTCAAGCGATTCTCCTGCCTCAGCCTCCCTAGTAGCTGGGACTACAGGTGCGCACCATCATACCCAGCTAATTTTTGTATTTTTAGTAGAGACAGGGTTTCACTATGTTGGCCAGGATGGTTTTGATCTCTTGATGTCGTGGTCTGCCCGCCTCGGCCTCCCAAAGTGTTGGGATTACAGGTGTGAGCCACTGCGCCCAGCCGAGAGGATTTTTAATAAGTTAAAATGCAAACAATTTATTTGATCATTCAAATATTATGGCATTTGCAATCATGTTCAAGCTACCTAAAGTATGGGCAGTTGTGAGTGCTTAGGAACTGGAGTTTGTTTATTTTCATTGTTGATTAAATCTTTTATGGAATAAATACAATTCAACACATGCCAATGGATGGTCTTCAGTGACTGTGTAACCACTTTTAAAGGCCTTTCACTTTCAAGATCGATAAACTCAGTAAAGGCAGGTTCTGCTATTGACAATCAGGGTGAAAGACGTTGTTGGCCCTGGTATGGGTGAATCTGTGAGACGAGCTCCCAAGTTCTAGGTTCTAGTGATCAAAAAAAAAAAAAAAAAGAAAGAAAGAAAGAATAGGATGGGGTAATGAGAAGTTTTCTACTTGCATTTTCTAAAAGTTAACTTTTCAAGTAC